>NC_000012.12:40793461-40944976 GCF_000001405.40 Homo sapiens
GGGGAAAAAAAAAAAAAAATCAGGTTGTATATGTAATGTGGAACCAGATCATGAAACACTTTGGACTCTGACATCAACATTTTAAACTTATAAGAAAAACAATAATGCCCTTATCTCTTTCTGTCACTCTAAATTATGCCTTACTCTAGCATTCTTCAAAGAGCATAAGCCAAGCTGTGTCATCCTTTAGTACTTCTTTTATGTGGCTTCCTCTTCCTGGAATCACTCCCCTGTCTGCCACCTGGAAAATATCTACTCTTGTCCCAGCACTTAGATGAATGAAACATTTTCTGACCTTCTCCTTCCCCACCCCTTCAGGGAGGTTATTCTAGTTTCTCCTTTCTGCTTGCTCTGAATCTAGTACTTATTTTTATCACAGCCTTATAACATTATTCCATCCATTCGTTCAAATCTTTTTCTATTATAATGTAGTACTATTAGACCGCAATTACTTTTGCACCAACCTAATACATTAGAAATGTAAATACTAGGGAAGTGGTGGTAAGGGGGAACTCATTTGCATAAATTTAGGTCATTTCTCTTATACATACCTAGTAAGTGTTCCACAATTCAAGGTTTTACCCAGATGTGCGTACAACCTGAAAATCTTCAGGATGCTGGCAAAATAAGAAATTTAGTTTAATAACCCTATCATTGTACAATGAGGAAACCAACTGAGATAAATAGGATCATTGAGCAGCACTTTGCATGAATATTTTTTAGTTATGCCTGTAAGAGACAGCAACATTATTTTTGTATTGCTGAAGTGCTTTGAGAGTAATGCCCTGGTGACAGCATAAACAAAATACAAAGGCCAGTTTGTTTTTATATATAAATGGGGGATTGTTGGTGAAGAGTTGTGCCAGCCAGTACAGAGTGGAATAGTGTTTTATTCCTCTCAAGATAGATAGATGGCTGAATTGCCCAAGTTCCTGCTGTTTTATAGCCTGCCCCTTGAATTTAATAATGAATAACTACTTTTTTTTTTTTGCATGGTTGGTGAGGAAATATATAATTTAAATGAAACTGAACAAATCATATCATCACTAAAAATATGTTCACCTGATATTTTACCTAAATGATATATTGCCAAAAATATTAAATATCCTATTTATTAAACATTATGGGGTTTTCAAAGTAAATTATGTCTTTATTAAAATGGAACTGACACCTTGTTAATGCATTACACTTTTAAAATGTACAGAGGTTTACAGCACAGAGAGATGGAGAAAAGTTACTATAATTCTGAAAAAAGAGACGGGAAAGCTTACTTCTAGTAGCTCCCATTGGGAAGGAGTGATTGGGAAAGGCTTCTCAAACAGAATAAACTTGAAAAGTGAGTCTGCCAATTGAGGAAGGAAGAATTAGAAGATAAGATTTGAGTGGAATCATGGAGGCCATTGCACACTATGAGAGAATTTTATTTTTGTTTGATAGATATAAAGGAGTTGTGATTATTAATTTTATGTGTCAATTTGGCTAGGCTATAGTACTTACTTAACCAAACACTAATTTAGGTATTGTTATTATGGTATTTTGTGGATGTGGGTAATATCTGCAATCAGTTGATTTTACGTAAAGTAGATTTCCCTCCACAATGTGGGAAGATCTCATCCAATCATGTGAAGGTCTTAAGAGAAAACCCTGAGGATTCTCAGATAAGAGAAAATTCTGCTTCAAGACTGTAGGATCACCTACTGCCAAGTTTTGAGCCTTTCAGCCAGCCTTGGGGATTTCTTACTTGCCAACCCTACACCCACATCCTCTGAACCAATTCCTTAAAATAAATCTCTGTAAACATGTCTACATGTATACACACACACACACACACACACACACACACACACACACACACACATTTTTTTTTTTTTTTTGAAACAAAGTCTCGCTCTGTCGCCAGGCTGGAGTGCAGTGGTGCGATTTTGGCTCACTGCGACACACACATTTTATTAAGCAGAATCTATACATTTAACAGAACCTATACATATAGATTATATGTGTGTATATGTGAACCTATATAGAATACATATATTCAAAATAGATGTATTTAGAATATTTAAAATATATGTATTCTATTTATAGGCACATATATATAGGTTCTGTTGGTTCTGAAAAATACACACACACACACACATATAATGCTTATTCTATTGTTTCTCTTAAAAACTAATAAATGGAATCAGGAGTTATAACAAGTTTTAAACAAAACTATACTTATTACCTTTCTGGCAGAAATTAGATTCTGTAATTTTAAGCTCTTATTGGTCATTAGTTTATGCCAGATTTATGCTACATGCAATACAGTAAACAGAAGCATAAAACAATGCCAGTTTTCAGGGATTTCTGTAATCGTTGCTAACAGTTTTTATCACTTGTGTGTGGTAGGCAATGTGCTAAGTGTTTTTTAAATTTTTTACTTAAGTAATCAATGCAACATTCCTATGAGGTGGATATTTTTAACATAGATATTATTATATTTGTAATTTGACAGATGAATTAATTGAATTTACAGCTAGTAAATGTCATACCCAGTGCCAAACCTGGGCTATAATGCATGAAATATGTATTCTGCCACCAAAATGCACATCTGCTCATGTAATACAATTTAACTATGATCGATGACCAGTGAACAATGTAAAACCATGCTTTTAAATATTCATAAAGAAAAACATAGGTAGCTATATTTCTTGTAGAAAAGGGTTTCTAAGCACAGGAGGCTTCATGGGTTGTGGAAGGAGGCTACTGGCTTAACCACTAAGAATAGAGAAATAGCATAGAATGTGATGACCAGCTCTAAGAAACATTAAAGCAATCATGGTATTTCAAAACCTCCATTAACCAACTTCAAGTCATACTTTAATAGATTTGCTTCAGACCTTTAGACTAGGGCTCTTCAGAATACGGCTCTGTGACTAGTAACATCAGCCTCACCACTACCCGAGAGCTTCCTAGAAAAGCAAACTTGGAGACTTCATTCCAGATATTATATATCAAAATCTCTAGGAGTGGGGCCTAGAAATCTGTTTTAAACAGCTAAGTGATCTATGCTTGGGTTAAAGTTCAAAAAGTACTGTACTAGAACAACAGGGCTGACAAAGAAGAGTGCCCTGATGCTGAGGTGAGCTTCCCCAGGGAAAGCAAAATGAAGACATCAAGCTGGAGTGAACTAGAATTAATAATGGTTAACGAATGTTCTGTCTTAGGCATCTTGCAAGGTGGGAATCTGGGACAGAAATAACTTCAGGAGAGACAGAACTTAAGGAGAGTCATGGAGAAAATGAAATTCTCTCACTTAAGTGAAAATGAGTTCGGACAAAAGTCAGAACGGTAACACCACATAGACCAAAAAGGTCAGGACTGTGTGTGTCTAGGATCAAAGCAAGGTTAACAATGAGGACAAAGCTTGGCAAGCCAAGGAGACAAAAGTCCTGGGACAAAAGAATCACTATTCTCAAGAGAAACTAAAGATGTAAGAATTCAGAGCCACAGGTCTGAAGTTGAGTATAAACTAATTATTTGGAAGTAGGCAGCCCACATCTATTAGTTCAACCCTCTCACAGTTGTCAATTCCCCATCTTATTAGCACCTAATAAAATTATATCTTGTGCCACTGGTGCATTCACCTATTGATTCAAAAAATATTTTTGGCACCCCCTATGTGCCCAATACAGTGATAAATAGCAGAGATATGAGGGTAAGTGAGACAAATGTGATCCCAGACATCAGGAAAGAGATACTGAATAAATAATTACACAAGTAAGTATTTAATAACAATTATTCTAAGTTCTACCTAGAAAAAGTATGGATATTGTGAGTATCACAGGACACCTAACCTATCCTGCAAGGAAGACTGGTGGGAATATGATCTGGGAGTTTTTCAGAGGAAGTAAATTTTAAATAACAACCTCAGATAAGGTGTTAGCTAAGAAAAGAACTGGAGAAAAGCATCCCAGGCCAAAAGAGCAGCTTATGCAGAGACAGAGAGTATGTTAGGATAGAGTGGGAGAGTGCCCAGGGTGACTGGAATGTAGTGAGTGGGGGAAAATAGCCAAAGATGAGGCTAGTGATGATACAGGACCTGCCATGGCCTGTTGAAGACATAGCATAGCATCATATGTATAATAAGAAAACATCAAACATTTTTAAGCTAGTAAATAATGATGACACTGACATTGAGAATATTCTTCTAGGTGCTCTGATAGAGTTTTGGTACAGAGAAATCTTTTAGGAGTTTATTGCAATCATTCAAGCAAGGGAAAATGATGGCTTGGACTAGGTTAATGGCGATGAGGAGAGAAAGAATACAATGGATTCGGTATATAGTTATGCAGTACAAAACAAGGTGCTAGTGTCCATAGAGGAAGAAGAAAATATAAACTATGACATCTAAGTGGCAGATGGGTGGAGACTGGTCCCATTAACGAGAATAGGGAGAACTGGAAGATGATCCCATTTTATGGGAAATGTCAAGAGTTCAATTGTGATTGCTTGAGTTTGAGATGCCTGTATATATACCCGAGTGTAATATAAAATACATAAGTGGGTTAATGAGTCTGGAGCTCAGAAAAGAAATTTGGACTGGAGATGTAAGTTTGGATGCATTATACATGATAGATCATGTTATTAGAGTGGATGAAAATATCTAGGGAGAGAGGATGAAATGAGAAAAAAATTCTTATCCTTCAAACTTTAAAGCATGATAATAAAAATGTTGCACTGGGAAAGGAGACTGCAAATGAATGGACAGAGAAGCAAAAAGAAAAGGAGGAGAGCCTGTGTCTCAGAAGCCAGGTGAGATGTTGCTACTGAAGAGTCATTGATTGTGTGACACAGCCCCAGAGGTTTAATCAAATGGAGTGGGACAGACAGATTCACTATCTTTTGTTTTCCTATACTTACTGTACTTTCTTAGTCAATCTTGCCCAACTAAAGACTTTTTTTCAGACAAACAAAGCTGCACAAATTCATTGCCTATAGACCTGCAGCACAAATAATGCAAAGGAAGTTCTTTAGGTGGATGATAGCCAAGGGTGTTCCCCAGAGCAATGGATTACGAAGGCCCAAGGTATAAAAGTCTATATTCTACCACTCAGCCATTAAAAAAAGAACAAGATCATATCCTTTGCAGGGACAAGGATGGAACTGGAGGCCGTTATCCTTAGCAGACTAACACAGGAACAGAACACCAAATACTGCATGTTCTCACTTATAAGTGGGAGCTTAATGATGGGAACACATGGACACATAGAGGAGAACAACAGACACTGGGGCCCACCAGAGGGTGGAGGGTGGGAGGAGGAAAAAATTCAGGAAAAATAATTAATGAGTACTAGGCTTAATACCTGGGTGATGAGGAAATAATCTGTACAGCAAATCCCCATGACATAGGTTTACCTATTTAACAAACCTCCACATGTACTCCTAAACTTAAAAGTTTTCAAAAAGTCCACATTACATCCATGCTACTCTCTAGTCAGAAGCAGAATACAATATAAGCATAACATTCTAACTTATTTTTTAACTTTATGTATATATGTATATACATAAAGATCAGTAAATTGAATTACTGTTCAAGTCTCTTAGGTTATCGGATCATTACTGAAGGAAAACAAGGCATTGAAAAGTTTTTGGAAACATGAGATTTGATAAATCATGGAAAATATATAGGAAAATACCAGTCACAAATAAATCTCATAATCTATAGCCTAATATTGCTTGATAATATATATAATAAAATATATTACTTATAATCAGATGTATTATTTGAAGTTTGTTTAATTAATTGATATTTTTATACTTGATACAATCTATTATTGAGTAATTATTTAATAATCTATATATAATAAAATCCATCACTACATAGAATTTGCACTAAAATTACCTGTATGACCAAGTCAGAGTATACAAAGGGTAAAATTATGATAAATACTGAAATTAAATTACCTTAAATGCCTGATGAGTTTATTTTTTCCTCTCAGCATTAAGAAGTTGGTAAAAATTGATATAAAAATTAGCAAACACTTTAAAATGTGTCCCATTTTTTGGCAGAACATAACCCTTGTGTTTCTACACTTGGCTCTCCTTGTGAGAGATAATATTTTCTGAATCATTGAGACCTGACAAAACAAAAGGCTTCAGAAAATCTGGCTAAATTCATCAGCCAGTCAGTAAGTAAGCATTTATTATAAACCAATTTTATGCAAGCTCTGTACTAGATGTGTACAATACAGAAGCATAAAGCATGGTGACAGCTTGCATAAAGTTTATATATTAATAGTAACTAACAACTAGGAGCACTTACTATATACAAGCACTATGCTTGGTACGTTTTTTTCATGTTCTTTCATTTAATCAGTCCTTACAATATTCCCATGACATAGGCATTATTATTAGTAGTAGTATTTTCATTTGAGAAATAAATACAGTGAGGTTTAATGAGCTTAGGTAACTTGGCTATGGACAAACAATAACTAAGCGTACAATATGACATTAAAGTCCAAAGTGTGAGAAATGAAAGTTCATGCTTTTAACAATTAAATATACTCTCTCTCCCACTTTACAACTAATTGGGAAGGTGATATAGTTTGGTTCTGTGTCCCTACCTAAATCTCACCTTGAATTGTAATCCTTTTTATCCCCACGTGTCAAGGGTGGGACCAGGTGGAGGTAATTGGATCATGGGGGTGGTTTTCCTCATGCTGTTCTCATGACAGTGAGTTCTCACGACATCTGATGGTTTTATAAGTGTCTGGCATTTCCTCTGCTTGCAATCACTCCATCCTGCCACCCTACGAAGAAGGTGCCTACTTCTCCCTTGCCTTCTGCCATGATTGTTAAGTTTCCTGAAGCCTCCCCAGCAATGCAGAACTGTGAGTCAATTAAAATTTTTTATTTTATAAATTACCCAGTCTTGGGTATTTCTTCGTAGTAGTGTGAGAATGGACTAATGCAGAAGGTAAGGAAGATACATTTGAAATAATGAATAATACAAGTTAGGAGGAAAAAGTGCTCTTTAATTATCCTTATTAAAAAATAATATTTTCTACTGTTAAGCAATATTTGTGAAATTATTAAATTAAAAAATCAGCAGGCTTCCCAGACAACTGAGGTTTTCTCACTTTTGATAGAGAAGAAAAGTGACGGCTTAATCATTGAGAGTACAGACATAGATCATACCCTGGAAACAAAAAGTTAGAAAGGTTAAAGGCATAAAGCGTTTTCAATATATCTGGCAGTCGTCTCCACATCAGATGAACACATCAGCCTTAACAACTAGAAAAATAGGAGCCAGCTAAGAACATTCTCAAAGAGCTGAGGAGAATCTCCCTGGAGAAAGCAAAGTGAAAACAACAGACTTATTAGAAGTAATAACAGCTAATCAGTGTTCTGTGTTAGGTTGAGCATGAGCAGGAATCCATAACAGCAGAGAATTCAAGTAGGTTAGGGCATAGGTAGGATTGTGGAGATAAGAAAACTTTCCCACATAAGAATGAGTAAGTTTGGACACAAAGTCAGAGCAGAATGTGGGTAACAGCAGGTCAAACTAGAGTTTTGTTTTTTTTTTTTTTAAGATAGATTTGACAAGCTAGGAAGGCAAAATCCTGGAAGAGACAAGTAGCACAGATTTTTAGAGAGAATAATAATAATAACAAATACCCTTAGCCAAAGGTTTAAAGTTCAAAGTGAACCATTTATTCAGCAGCAAGCATCTCAGTTCTAGATGGTCAACTCCATCACGGTAAATGGTAATTCAAAATTTAAAAATCAGATCATCTGACATTAGCGATAACATACATTGATTCATTTATCCATGCACTCAGTAAGTATCATTTGGTAACATCTATGTGCCTATCACAGTGATAAACACCAGGCCTCTGATAAATGAAAGTCAAATGAAACAATATGTTCTTTGCTGTAGTGGAAATTGCATTATAGTGGAAGAGTTAGGTATTAAATAAATAATTATAAAATTGGGTTGTTAATTATAGTTTTGATCAGAGTAATAGAGATAAGGTAGAATTTTGTGAGCATAAATTGAAGAAGGAAGTTTCCTAGTTTGCAAAGTAGTAAAGAAGATACAACCTCAAATATGAGACTGTTAGCCAAGTAAACATTTGGAGAAACAGCGCTCCTGACAAGGAGCGTAAGTTTCATAATTTGGAAAAGAATAGGGAGATTGCCAGTGTGGCTGGAATGTGGTGAAGGAGGGGGAAAGAGAACAAGATGAGGCTAGAGGGTTGGTTAGGGGCCAACTGGATGTTTTATGCCATATTGAAGATTTAAAATATTAATCGTAGTGGGAAAACACATTTTGAGTCCAGTTGGTATGATGACATCCACATTTTTAAAAGACACTTTGAGGTATTCTGATACAATATTTGGTGTGAATTAGCAAGCAGGAGTGTGAATACGGGGAAATCATTTATAAGGCTATTTCAGGAGTCTAAGCAAGAGATAGATTATGAGGGCTCGAACTTGGTTATTGACAATGAAGATCAAAAAAAAAAGTAGATGGAAGATGGATACAATATATAATTAGGGGATAGAAAAAGGAATTGTAGCTGTAGGCATCAAACATGAGCAGATGGTGTAGGATGATGCCATTTACTAGAAAAGGAAGAACTGAAGGAAGACCAGATTTTGGGAAAATATTGAGAGTTCAGTTATCTCAGAATGAAATAACCAAGTAGAAATATTAAGTGGATGTGTCTACAGTTAGGAAAAGATATCTTGGTTGGAGACAGAGTTTGAGTTCATCAGTATATACATATTCTATAAAAGATGACATCTATAACAGGAAGACAGAAGGAAATCCAAGTTTAGAAAAAGAAAAATGAGTTGTGTATTGCCTGAATTTGAGATGTTTGTATGACACCCAGGTGTAAATATTAAGTATGAGGTAACTTCAGTATGGTCATGAAAAATGGACTTAAAGGTAGAAAAAATATAAACTTTATTTCTCAACACAAGTTCATCAATGACAAGACACTTTTGTAAGCAATGATACCAGCCATTTAGTCCATCTCTAAAGAACTAAGAGTCCTGGGAATTTAATCGTGCCAGTGCAGTCTTTTTTACATTATTAACTGAAGAAAAATGAGTGCCCTTTACAGACTTTTAAGATTAGGAAACAAAAATAAATCAGAAGGAGCCAAATCAGGACCGTAAGATGTATGTCTGATGATTTCCCATCAAAACCCTCCCCAAATTATGCTTGTTTGATGAGAAGGATGAACAAAAAAAGCAGTGGCATGGTGAAAGACTCTATGGTGAAGATTTCCCAGACACTTTTCTGCTAAAGCTTTGCCTATCTTTTCAAAACACTCTCATAAAAAGCAGATATTATCATTCTTGGCACTCCTGAAAGTCAGTAAGCAAAATGCCTTGAGCATGCCAGAAACTGTTGCCATGAACTTTGCTCTTGGCCAGTCTGTTTTGCTTTGACTAGACCACTTCCACCTTGCTTTGATTATCTTTGTCTTTGTCTTCAGTATTTTACTAGTAAAGCCATGTTTCGAATCCTGTCAAAATTGTTTGGAGAAATGCTTTAGAGTCTTGATCCCACTTGTTTAAAATTTCCATTGAAAGCTCTGCTGTTATCTGCAGCTGACCTGGGTGCAATGGTTTGGGTACCTGAGTGGAAATTTTGCTCAACTTTAATTTTTCAGTCAGAATTGTGTAAGCTGAACCAATTGATGTATCTATCATGTTGGCTACTGTTTCTTCTGTTAATTGTAGATCTCTTCAGTTAGGGCATGAACAAGATGAATGTTTTCCTCACAAATTGATGTGGATGTTGTGTCACTGCAGGCTTTATCTTCAACATTGTCTCATCCCTTCTTAAAATGAGTTATTCATTTGTAAACTGCCCGTTTGTGGGGAGGCATTGTCCCTGTAAACTTTTTGAAGAGCATCAGTGATTTCACCATTCTTCCACCCAAGCTTTACCATGAATTTAATGTTTAATTTTGCTTTAATTTTAGCAGAATTCAAGTTGCTCTGATAGGGTCTCTTTTCAAACTGATGTTTTATCCTTCTTAGTGTCTCAAACTAGATCTTGCTTAGACATGTTTTAACAAGCTAGTACAACTTTATTTTGATGCAAAAATAATTGAAACCCATGCTTAGATTTTCACAATATGCATTTTTGAAGACCCCCTTGTATGTAATTTGGCTAAGGGTCTGAATTTCAGAAAAGAAATTTTGGCTAGACATATAAGTTTGAATTTATTATATATGATCTTTCAAGTTACAAGAGTAGATGAGAATATCTAGGGAGAGAACATGAAGGAGAAGAGGAGAGGGGAAGAGGGAAGAGGAGAGGAATGATGAGAAGGATACAGGAAGGGAGGAGAGGAGAAGGAAGGGGAAGGAGAAGATAGGGGAGATAACTTTTGGACCATAGATCTTTGAGGGAATATAAAGTGCATCCACTTTAAAGGCATTAAGCTGATCTTAATACCTGATCACTTACACGACAACAAGCTATGATTCACTTACAATTACCTACCAAGGGTTACTGCATGGTGGAGGTAAAGGAGTGGTTGAGTGTGCTCACTAGGCTAATTTATCTAGTTCCAAACTTTACTGCTACTAATTGCTCTAGAGACTACTGAATGCGGTAATGTGACTCTCATTAAATGAATAAAATAATTCCAAGTGACTTGCACTTCTAGACTTTTTTCTGGAAGTTACATAGAACAAAAGACAGATCAGGTAAAAGCAGTGATTAGGTTGTGGGCTTTGAAATTTCCATCTATTCCTTTGAATATAACAGTAATAATATTGAAGTAGGAAAGGAGTAACATTTATAAATGTTAATAAAATTCAAAACAAATGTTGACAAGATATGTGTACATAAACAGTTCACAAGCCACCTGCCATTTTACAAATGCTAGTCATTTTATTTAATAATTCCATAAAATTTTATTTCAGGTACTATTGCCATTTCGCAGTTGTTGTTTTGAAAACCCTTCAAGAGACTGTATGTTTGAAAAGAAGGTTGGGAAACCAGTTTAATATTCCACTGGTACAAGAGCAGATGGTTGCCTGACCCCGTATTAGACTGAGGGATTGCAGTCACATGCCTCTGTTAATAACAGGATGGGTTGATGGATAGAGGGGAGGGTAAGATTTAAGATGCATCAAGAGAGCAGGGCTTAGGGTAGGAAAGGCAAATTTTAATGGATTCAGGTTATAGGGTCTTCAGAATTTTATCTCAGGGTAACTGGAGCACAGTGGACTGGCTATTTTTACCATTTTAAGAGCTCTTTATATTTTTTTAATGTATAGGCCAAATTTCTCTCCAGCATCACATTCTTTTGGCCTAAAGAAATAATTTTAATATTACTTGTAAATCAGGTGCATTGGAAATGCATTATCTCAGTCTTTTTTTTCTTAATCTGAAAACTGTCTTTATTTTGCCTGCATTTTTGAAAGATTTTCACTGCGTATCAGATTATGGATTGACAGTTGTCTTTATTGTTACTGTCGTTTCCTTCTTCAAAGATATCACTGCTGTGTCTTCTGGTGTACACAGTTACTGACAAAAAAGTCTGACTTTTTAATGTTTGTTCCTTGGTGCACAATACAATTTTCCATATTCTCACTGCCTTTAACATATTTTTAATTTTTATTTTCGTCAGTGTGACTGTGATGTATCTATGTGTTGTATTTGTTTATTCTGGTATTTATAATATTTGAGGTTCTCTGAGCTTCTTGGATATGCGGTTTAGTGTATTTTCTTCTTTTTGGAACATTTTCAATAACTATCATCTCAAAATTTCTTCTACCCCCTTTTCCCTCTTTTCTTCTGGACTTTTGCACGACTGATATTTACCATCTGATATTGTTCCAGAGTCCTTGGAAGCTCTGCACTATGTTTTTCTCCCCATCATTTTTCCTTTTATGTGTCAATTTGGGTGATTTCTATTAGGCTATCCTTAAGTTCATTGAATGTTTCCTGAGCTGTATCAAGTGTACTGGTTGGTCTATCAAAGAAATTCTTAATTTCTAATATTATCTTCTTAAAAAAAAGTCTAGTACTTCCATTTGACTGTTACTTAAAGTTTCCATCTTCCTGCTTAAATTCTCACTTTGTTAAGGAAGGTTTCCCACTGTGCCCTTTATATCTGTTAGCATTTTAATCGCTGATATTTTAAATTCTCTATCTGATAGTTTCAATATCTGAGCTATCTGTGAGTTTGGTTTAGTTGGTTACTTTGCTTTTGAAAATAGTTTGCTGTGTGTGTGTATGTGTGTGTATCTCATAAATTTGAATGCTAAACATTGTGTATGGAACAGTAGAGGCTGAGGTCAATGGTATTTATACCTGAAAATGAGCAGTCCCCTTCTATTGGGTTGTTAGTGTGTGGAAGGAGATCTGAATTTTTAGTTTTTTCTTACCCTGGCTATCTTCAATGGGACACAGGCTTCAAATTTCTCTAGCGTGGCCTGATGCTTAGAGAGAAGGCTGGGTTGCTGTTGCTTGTTTGTTTTCTTTCCTATTTTTTAAATCAATGTTGTAATCTGCTCCCAGCTCTCCGCTGACTCTATGTGCCCTTTGCACAGATGATATCTCTCTCCATGTTCTTTACTGCACTCCAGAGGTAGAATGCTGTTGCTTGATACTCAGTGCTAGGTTATATCGGAGTGCAAGGATAACAGGCTCTCTATTCTGCTCTAATCTCAGCCTTAAAGAGCTCCTGTGTGTCTATGCTTCAAGAGTGCGGGTTTTTCAGCATTTCTGCCCCTCCTCCCCATGAAGGCCAAGCTACCTTATATATGCAACTGGTCTTGGCAGAGAGTTTCCCGCCAATCCTTTAGCAGTAAGAGATTTCAACTTGCTATTTGGTATTGCTATAGAAGCCTAGATCCAGTCCTCCCCCAGAGAGAAGTGTGGTTTTATTTGTTTGTTTGTTTTTACCATTCCCCCAGCTGTAATGTGTCTCTTTGTTCTGTGGTTATGAGACCTTACCCACCCGCTAATGTCATAAAGTGTTTCTTTTGTAAGAAAGGAGAGTTCAGGGAAGTGCATGGCATCACATGTCTATTCCTCCACAGTTCCCAATCATTTCCCACCCAAATGGACCACCAGTGGGGGCTCTCTGGTCTCCTTCCCTAACGCCAATCTTCTTTATGAGCACTTGAAAAATATCCTTGGAGCCTGCAAGTGATTAAAGCTTTTCTTTTTGTCAGATGTCCTGAGCTATTTCAGATTGACATGGTAGCCCATATGGCCTCTGCAGATCTTTAAAATTTTAGCTCATTAAGTCTCAATCACACACATATTGTCCCTAGTGTGGCACTTCTTTCTCCCATACTCCACCACTAATGAGACAGTTTGTGTGCCCTGCTTTTCCTTGGAGGAACTTGTCCCTTTTTGACTTATGGGTTACATGATTACCTTGTAGTCTGAGCTCTCTGACAAACAATAAAATCATTATTTTCTAGTTTATTCAGTTTTTTCATAGTTATGGTAGAAGCAATATTCTTTGCAGCTTTCTACATCCTAAATGAAGGCTAGTTATAGAACTTTTTTGACTATCAGTCATATTGATGTAGAGCAGCCACACTATACCAAGCACAGGAACGGTACAGAATAGTGATAATTCATACAAAATAATCACTGATTCTATACCTGGAGAGGACCCTAAAGGATGGATACTTACCTTGGGCTGGGATCGAGAAGCATAAAATCCCTGGAAATGAAATAACATATATTCCCTCCTCTATAGCTCTTCATTCCTTTCTATTTCACCTCCTCACTTCTGACATATACTTGCAAGAAAAGGGGGTGTCCACATCATATAAATGGTTCCCTCAATTATTATTATTATAATTATTATTATTTTTATACCCCTCCTCTTTTTATCCCCATCCCTACATGGTGAGTAGTTCTCTAGTCTAGAGAGTATGGACCAGAGACTTGATCACCAACAGAGCTAACATGGTAGACATTTCCAAAGAGCTAGCATAAGGAGGGCGAAAGGTGGCTCTAGCCTTGTCTAAAAGCTAGTGCTACCCTCTTCTTACATTTAAGATTTCTGCTGCACCAAAGGCCAAAGCCTCTCATTTTCAAGGACTCTGGAATAGTACTGCAAGTGCTCTAAATGTAGAGTGATTAGAAGATCTTAGTTAATTAAGACAGATACAGGTTAGGAGTGGACTTCATTAGATCCTTCTCAGAGCCTGTCAGAACCTCAAAATTATTTTCTGTTCTTATGTTTCTTCAAGTGGAATCTATAATTCTTATCCTACTTTGTTAAGCCATTGTACTGTTTAAATTACTGTTGTGTATTTTTAGGTAACTACCTTGTAAACCTATTCAACCATAGGAAAAAGGCACATTTGGGGTTAATTTTAAATATAATTACCTTTAACATTTTCTTTTATCTCTTAATGTCTTTTAATATTATTGTCATCCAGGAGGGATGGGAATTTAAATAGGATGGTTCAAAGCATATTTATAGCTAACTTGCATGCCTGTGATGAAGCAAATTTAACCACAATGATTTTCCAAATTCTTTGTTTACTTAGACAGTATAACTGCCTTTGATAGTTTCTTAATTTTCTTCCCTCAACTGTCAATGGTAAAAGTACAGATCTTTTGGAATAAGCATTCCCTGGGTGTTCTTTTAGATTCAGTCATTGTTCAGTTGACCAAAGAGAACTTACTATAGCTCAACTTTTGCCTATCCATACTGGAACATTAGTTAAAATTTTGAGTTGACTGTGTTAAAATCAAAATTTAAAAACACTATGTTTTGGGGTTAGTTACGGTTAATTATCTTTAAATCTCTCAAGTCATTGAATTGTGAGCTGAGATGTGCTGGTAAATGTGTAACAACTGACTCTCCCAGGGAAAAGAGAAAACCCTAATGTGCAGCATTTGCTGATTTTGGTCATATAAATATTTCCACCATGGTTGATTCCAAGCTACCAACATGATGTCATCGAACATCATATAATTGGGAAGAAGTACTCAATAGCACACTATTATACAGAATTTCCACCATACAGATAAAATAGGTGTAAATAATCTCTATAGCATTAATAATATTAAAATGTATAGGAATGATTTAGAGTATTTAGCATTTTAAAAATATAATTTAAAGCTTATCATTTAATTATTAATGATGACTGTGATTTTTTTAAACAACCAGCTTGCAAAATTCCTGAAATTAAAATAGGCTCTTCCATATTGTGACAGGCTGATCTCAACAAACCACTGGTTCTAAGCCTTTGAGGACAAGAGCTTTTAAATTCCAACCACCAGATTGGGTTTTGACTCACAGCCCACATCAGTGAATATTTGCGAAAGAAAGAGCTCAAGTCAAGGTTAGCCAATAAAAACAAACGAACAAATAAACAAACAAACAAAAACCTAGGTATTATTCTTTGAATTCATACATCTGCATGGTCCAAACTGGTTTTTCTTTCACTTCCATTCCCTTGTTTTTCTCTGTGCATGTAATTTAGATTATTTTTCAAACATAATTATTACTGGATCATATAGTGGTCACTCTAGTCAAGAATTTTGCATCTGACGATTTTTCACCAAGAAGGCAGTCTAGATCATGTGTTATTCACATAAATTAGGAATTTTATTACCTACTTTAAATCAATTATTTCTAATTGAAATATTGTGTATTTCTATATAAAGTAACACTTTGTTCAGAAAGATCCCTACAACCATTCCCTAGAACTAAAATATTAGTTGTATTTTCAAGATATTTTTATGACTTCCTCTTTAATTTCATAGGACAGATGTCTGTGATAAAATCTTTTCCAGGAAATTACAGCTGCTAGTTTCAAGATAAAACTCCTTATGAAGAAGCAAAGTTGATTGATTACCTTATGCAATAACTCCACAAAATGAATGTTTTACAAAATAACTTGCTGGTACATTAATATCCTTCTCTGGGGGTTAGTTTGGGGCAGGAAATAAAATGTGTCCCAAAGTATGCATATCAAAAGGAACTTATACAAAATCATCTTATTAAATGAATCAACAAATTTTATATCTTGAACCTATAGTCAAGTAAGAATGGAAAGAATATATATATATAAAACATTTATTGGCCGGGCACAGTGGCTCACGCCTGTAAGCCCAGCACTTTGGGAGGCCAAGGCAGGCGGATCACGAGGTCAGGAGTTCAAGATCAGCCTGACCAGCATGACCTGTCTCTACTAAAAATATAAAATTAGCCAGGTGTGGTGGTGCACGCCTGTAATCCCAGCTACTCAGGAGGCTGAGGCAGGAGAATTGCTTGAACCCGGGGGGCAGAGGTTGCAGTGAGCCGAGATTGTGCCACTGCACTCCAGCCTGGGCAACAGAGTGAGACTCTGTCTCACACACACACACACACACACACACACACACACACAAAAGTCAAAACTCATTTGTAAATGACTCTATATATTTGGAGAATTTTACAACTCTACAGATTGTTTTTAATAAAAATCAGGTGACACTAATCTCTATTGTTAGTCGTCAGGATAGTGGCTATCTTTGGGGCTGGTAGAGGATGGATCAGTGTGCATTATTAGTGTGAACAATATATACTTGTATGCTGTAATCATGGTATGGTTATTTTAAAAAATATATGCAAAAGTTTTTAGATAAGTACCTTTTTAATGATAATGAGGCTGAAAGTCCATAAATGAAGCCTGTATTTTAAATCAAGTATTGTAGCGAATTTTGTTTGGGGCATTTATTCATTCATGCATTCCTATAATAAGCCCTCTTTTATATTCTTCAGCTTTGTTGAGGTATACTTGACAAATAAAAATTTTATGTATTAAAGGTGTATATGAGTCACAAAGTGATGTTTTGATATCTATATACAAATTGCTAAATGATTTCCACAATAAAGTTTGTTAACATAGCCATCATCTCACATAGCTACCTTTTGTCCTTTTTGTGCTGACAATACTTAAGATCTACTTTCTAAGAGAATTTCAAGTGTATAATATGGCATTATTAACTATAGTCACCATGTTTTACGTGAGGTCTCTAGAACTTATTCATCTTACAACTGCCACGTTTGTACCCTTTGACCAACATCTCCCCATTTCCACCACACCCTAACATCTAGTACCTAACCTTCTATTCTGTTTCTATGAGATTGATTTTTTTTTTTTTTAGATTTCACATATAAGTGAGATTACATAGTATTTATCTTTCTGTGTATGACACTTCAGTTAGCATAATGTTCTCCAGGTTCATCCTAGTTGTTGCAAATGACAGGATTTCCTTCCTTTTAAAAATTGAGCTGGAATAGTGGCTCATGCCTATAATTTCAGACCTTTGGGAGGCTAAGACTGCAGGATTGCTTGAGGGCAAGAGTTTGAAACCAGCTAGGCAACATAGTAAGACCTCATATCTACCAAATATAAATAAATAAATAAAGTAGCTAGGCATGGTGGTACATGACTGCTGAGGCAGGAAGATCACTTGACCCCAGAAGTTTGAGGTTACAATCAGCTACAACCATGGCACTGTACTCCAGCCTGGGTGACAGAATGAAAGCCTGTCTCTAAAAATAAATAACAAATAAAAATTGATTAATATTTAATTGCGTGTACATCAAATTTCTTTATCCGTTCATTCATCAATGGACACTTAGGTTGTGTTCATTACTTGGTTATTGAGAATAATGCTGCAGTGAACATGGAAGTACAGATATTTCTTCAAGACAGTGATTAAATTTTCTTTGGATATACACCCTGAAATCGGATTGCTTGATAATATGGTCATTCTGTTTTTAATTTTTTTAGTATCATCCATAATGTATTACATAACCCTTTGCTGGTATTTTATACAGGCAACACAATATGCCTTTTGAAAACACTGAGTTGAGGATATTTGCATCTATGTTTATCAGAATTGGCCTGTAATTTTCTTTTCTTGTAGTGTGTTTATCTGGCTTTGGTATAAGGATAAAGCTGGCCTCATTAAAATGAGTTTGAAAATGTTCACTTCTCTATAATTTTTCAAGCTGTTTGAGAAAGATTGGTGTAAATTCTTTTCTAAATGTTTGGTAGAATTCACCAGTAAAGTCATCCATTTCTGGGCTTTTTTTGATAGAAGATTTTTGATAACTGATTAGATTGCCTTACTTGTATTTGTCTGTTTAGATTTTCTATTTCATAATTCAATCTTGATAGGTTGTATGCTTCTAGGAATTTATTGATTTCTTCTAGATTATCCAATTTGTTTGGATATAATTGTTCATAGTAGCCTCTTAGAATCCTTTGTGTTTTGTAATATCACCTGTTATATCCTTTTTCATTTCTCATTTTATTTGAGTCTTTTCTCCTTTTTCCTTCGTCTCACTGAAGGTTTGTTAACTTTATCTTTTCAAAAAAAAAAAAACTCTTAGTGTCATTGACATTTTCTATTGTTTTTCCATTTTCTATTTCACTTATTTCTGCTCTGATTTTGTTATTTTGTTTCTTCTACTAATTTTAGTCTTAGTTTGTTCTTCTTTTTCTCATTCCTTGAGATGTAATGTTAGGTTGTTTATGTGAGATCTTTCTTTTTTTTTTAATGTAGACATTTATTGCCATAACTGTCTCCTTAGAACTGCTTTTGCTGCATCCCTTAAATTTCGGTATGTTGTGTTTTCATTTTTGTTTGTCTTAAGATATTTTCAAAGTTATCTTTTGATTTCTTTGACTCATTGGTTATTCAGGAGCATATTGTTTAATTTCCACATGTTTGTGAATTTTCCAGTCTTTCTGTTATTATTGACTTCTAGATTTGATTATAAAAGATACTTAATATGATTTCAAGCTTCTTAAATTTGCTAAGACTGATTTTGTGGCCCAATGTTTGATCTATCCTAGAGAATGCTGTGTGTACACTTGAGAAGAATATGTATTCTGCTGCTGTTGGATGGAATGTTCTGTGTATGTCTTGTGTTCACTTTGTCTATAGGTTATTTAAGAAACCTATAGACAATGTTTCTGTTTATGTCTGCTGTTTTCTTACTGATTTTCTGTCTGGATGATTTATCCATTGTTGAAAATGGGGTATTGAAGCCCCTAATACTATTGTATTTGTGTTGATTTCTCCCATCAGTTCTGTTAATATTTGTTTTATATATTTAGCTGCTATAGTATTGGGTGCATATATATTTACAATGGTTATATCTTGATGAATTCACTCTTTTATCATGATATAATGACCTTTGTCTCTTACGACAGTATTTTACTTAAAGTCTATTTTGTAAAAGACCATTTTGTATATTTAGGGTTCCATTTGCATGGAATATCTTCTTACATCCCTTCACTTTGTATGTGCCCTTAAAGCTCTAGTGAGTCTCTTGTAGGTAGCATCTAGTTAGGTCTTATTTTTCTGTTCATTTGTCTGTTTTAATCCATTAAGCTACTCTGTATCTTTTGTTGAGAGAATTTAATCCATTTGCATTCAAGGTAATTATTTTAGGTAAGGACTTAATACTGCCAGTTTGTTAATTTTTTTTTTTTTTTTGGTTGTTTTGAAAATCAATTCCTTCCTTCCTTCCATCCTTTTTCCTTCCTTCCATCCTTTCTTTCTTTCTCTTTCTTTCCTTTCTTTCTTTCTTTCTTTCTTCCTTCCTTCCTTCCTTCCTTCCTTCCTTTCTTTCTCTTTCTTTTTTTCTTTCTTTCTTTCCTTCTTTCTTTCTTTCTTTTTCTTTCTGCCTTCCCCTCCTTTCTTTTCATTTTTTGCTGTCTCCATTTTTGACACAATAATTTCAGTTTTTTCTTATTTGCTTCTAAAAAGAAAAAAAAAAAACAGGATTCATGTGCAGAACATGCAGATTTGTTACATAAGTATACATGTGTCATGGTGGTTTGCTACACCTATTGACCCATCCTCTAAGTTCCCTCCCCTCAACCCCCAACCCACAACAGGCCAGGGTATGTGTTGTTCCCCTCTTTGTGTCCACGTGTTCTCAATGTTCAACTCCTTCTTATGAGTGAGAACATGCAGTGTTTAGTTTTCTGTTCCTGGGTTAGTTTGGTGAGATCGATGCCTTCCAACCTCATCCGTCTCCCTGCAAAGGACACGATCTCATTCCTTTTTATGTCTGCATAGTATTCTATGTTGTATATGTACCACATTTTCTTTATTCAGTCTATCATTGGTGGGCATTTGGGTGGGTTCCAAGTCTTTGCTATTGTAAATAGTGCTGCAATAAACATACATTTGCATGTGTCTTTATAATAGAATCATTTATATTCCTTTGGGTATATACCCAGTAATGGGATTGCTGGGTCAAATGGTATTTCTGGTTCTAGATCCTTGAGGAATCACCATACTGTCTTCCACAATGGTTGAACTAATTTACATTCCCACCAACAGTGTAAAAATATTTCTATTTCTCCACAGCCTCGCCAGCATCTATTATGTCCTGACATTTTAATAATGGCCATTCTGACTGGTGTGAGATGGTATCTCATTGTGGTTTTGATTTGCATTTCTCTGAGGATCAGTGGTGTTCAGCTTTTTTTCATATGTTTGTTGGCCGTGTAAATGTCTTTTTTTTGAGAAGTGTCTGTTCATATCATTTGCCCACTTTTTGATGGTGCTGTTTGTCTTTTTCTTGTAAATACGTTTAAGTTCCCTATAAATTCTGGATATTAGACCTTTGTCAGATGGGTAGATTGCAAAAATTTTCTCCCATTCTGTAGTTTGCCTCCTCACTCTGATGATAGCTTCTTTTGCTGTGCAGAAGCTCTTTAGTTTAATTAGATCCCATTTGTCAATTTTGGCTTTTGTTGCAATTACTTTTGGAGTTTTTGTCATAAAGTCTTTGCCCATGCCTATGTCCTAAATGGTATTACCTAGGTTTTCTTCTAGGGTTTTTATGGTTTTGTGTTTTACATTTGAGTCTTTAAGCCATCTTGAGTTAATTTTTGTATAAGACGTAAGGACGGAGTCCAGTTCCATTTTTTCTCCATATGGTTAGCCAGTTTTCCCAGCCATTTACTGAATAGGAGATCCTTTCCCCATTGATTATTTTTGTCAGGTTTGTCAAAGATCAGATGGTTGTAGATGTGTGCTGTTATTTCTGAGGTCTCTATTCTGCTCCATTGGTCTATATGATTGTTTTGGTACTAGTATCATGCTGTTTTGGTTACTGTAGGCTTGTAGTATAGTTTGAAGTCAGGTAGCGTGATGCCTTCAGCTTTGTTCTTTTGGCTTAGGAATGTCTTGGCAATGCAGGCTCTTTTTTGGTTCCATATGAACTTTAAAGTAGTTTTTTTTCCAGTTCTGTGAAGAAAGTCATTGGTAGCTTGATGGGGATGGCATTGAATCTATAAATTACCTTGGGCATATGGACATTTTCACGATATTGATTCTGCCTATCCATGAGCATGGAATGTTATTCCATTCGTTTGTGTCCTCTTTTATTTCGTTGAGCAGCAGTTTGTAGCTGTCCTCGAAAAGGTCCTTCCCATCCCTTGTAAGTTGGATTCCTAGGTTGATTTTCTTTGAAGCAATTGTGAATGGGAGTTCACTCATGATTTGGCTCTCTGTTGGTCTGTTATTTGTGTCTACCCTTGTGACACAGTGAAAGAGAAACCCAGTTACTGTAGCCTTGTAGTATAGTTTGAAGTCAGGTGGCATCATACCTCCAGCTCTGTTCTTTTTGCTTAGGATTGTCTTGGCTATTTGAGGTCTTCTTAGATTCCATATGAAATTTAAAATAGTATTTTTCTAATTCTGTGAAGAATGTCAATGGTAGTTTGATGGGAATAGCATTGAATCTATAAATTATTTTGGATAGTATGGCCATTTTCACAATATTGATTCTTCCTATCCATGAGGATGGAATATTTTTCCATTTGTTTGTGTTCTCTCATTTGCTTGAGCAGTGGTTTGTAGTTCTCCTTGAAGAGGTCCTTCACATCCCTTGTTAGCTGTATTCCTAGGTATTTTATTCTTTTTGTAGCAATTGTGAATGGGATTTCATTCATAATTTGGCTGTCTGCTTGCCTATTGTAGGTGTAAAGGAATGCTTGTGATTTTTGCACATTGATTTTGTATCCTGAGACTTTGCTGAAGTTGTTTATTAGTTTAGGAAGTCTTTGGGCTGAGATGATGGGGTTTTCAAACTATAAAATCATGTCATCTACAAACAGAGACAACTTGACTTCCTCTATTCCTATTTGGACACCCCTTATTTCTTTCTGTTACCTGATTGCCCTGGCCAGAACTTCCAATTCTATGTTGAATAGGAATGGTGAGAAAGGGCATCCTTGTCTTGTACCAGTTTTCAAAGGGAATGCTTCCAGCTTTTGTCCATTCTACATGACATTGTCTGTAGGTTTGTCATAAATAGCTCTAATTATTTTGAGATATGTTCCATTAATACTTAGTTTATTGAGAGATTTTAACATGAAGCGATGTTGAATTTTATCAAAGGCCTTTATTGCATCTATTGAGATAATCTTGTGGTTTTTGTCTTTGGTTCTGTTTATGTGATGGATTATGTTTATTGATTTGTGTATGTTGAACCAGCCTTGCATCCCAGGGTTAAAGCTGACTTGGTCATGGTGGATACGTTTTTTGGTGTGCTGCTGGATTCAGCTAGCCAGTATTTTATTGAAGGTTTTTGCATTGATGTTCATCAGGGATACTGGCCTGACATTTTCTTTTTTTGTTGTGTCTCTTCCTGCTTTTGGTATCAGGATGATGCTGGCTTCATAAAATGAGTTAGGGAGGAGTCCCTCCTTTTCAATTGTTTGGAATAGTTTCAGAAGGAATGGTACTAGCTCCTCCTTGTATTTCTGGTAGAATTCAGCTGTGAATCCATCTGGTCCTGGGCTTTTTTTGGTTGGTAGGCTATTAATTACTGCCTCAATTTCAGAGCTTGTTATTGGTCTATTCAGGGATTCAAATTCTTCCTGGTTTAGTCCTGATACGGTGTACATGTCCAGGAATTTATCCATTTTTTCTAGATTTTCCAGTTTATTTGCATAGAGGTGTTTTTATTATTCTCTGACGGTAGTTTGTATTTCTGTGGGGTCGATGGTGATGTCCCCTTTACCACTTTTTATTGTGTCTATTTGATTCTTCTCTCTCTTCTTCTCTATTAATCTAGCTTGTTATTTATTTATTTTTTTCAAAAAAACATCCCCTGAATTCATTGATTTTTTTGAAGGGTTTTTCGTGTCTCTGTTTCCTTCACTTCTTCTCTGATCTTATTTATTTCTTGTCTTCTGGCAGCTTTTGGATTCTTTTGCTCTTGCCTCTCTAGCTCTTTTAATTGTAATATTAGAGATTGATTTGAGATCCTTTTAGCTTTCTGATGTGGGCATTTAGTGCTATAAATTTCCCTCTTAACACTGCCATAGCTGTGTCCCAGAGATTCTGGTACATTGTCTCTTTGTTCTCATTGGTTTCAAATAACTTCTTGATTTCTGCCTTAATTTATTTCATTATTTACCCTGGAGTCATTCAGGAGCAGGTTGTTCAACTCCCATGAAATTGTGTAGTTTTGTGTGAGTTTCTTAATCCTGGGTTCTAATTTGATTGCACTGTGGTTTGCAAGACTGTTCGTTATGATTTCCATTATTTTGCATTTGCTGAGGAGTGTTTTACTTTCAATTATGTGGTCGATTTTAGAATAAGTGCCATGTGGCACTGAGAAAAATGTATATTCTGTTGATTTGGAGTAGGGAGATCCATAGATGTCTACTAGGTCCCCTTGATCCAGAGCTGAGTTCAAGTCCTGAATATCCTTGTTAATTTTCTCTCTCATTGATCTGCCTAATGCTGACAGTGGGGTGTTAAAGTCTCACACTATTATTGTGTGGTAGTCTAAGTCTCTTTGTAGGTCTCTAAGAACTTGTTTTATGAATCTTAGTGCTCCTCTATTGGGTGCATATATATTCAGAATAGTTAGCTCTTCTTGTTGAATTGTTCCCTTTACCATCATGCAATACCCTTCTTTGTCTTTTTAGCTCTTTGTTGGTTTAAAGCCGGTTTTGTCAGAGACTAGGATTGCAACCCCTGCTTTTTTTTTTTTTTTTTTTTTTTTTTGCTTTTCATTTCCTTGGTAAATTTTCCTCCATCCCTTTCTTTTGAGACTGTGTGTGTCTTTGCATGTAAGATGGGTCTCCTGAATACAGCACATTGATGGGTCTTGACTCCTTATCCAGTTTGCCAGTCTGTGTATTTTAATTGAGGCATTTAGCCCATTTACATTTTAGGTTAATATTGTTATGTGCGAGTTTGATCCTATCATCATGATGCTATTTGGCTATTTTGCACACTAGTTGATGTAATTTCTTTGTAGTGTCATTGGTCTTTATGTTTTGGTGTGTTTTTGCAGTGGCTGGTACTGGTTTTTCCTTTTAGTATTTAATGCTTTTTTCAGGAGCTCTTGCAGGGCAGGCCTGGTGGTGACAAAATCCCTCAGCATTTGCTTGTCTGGAAAGGATTTTATTTTTCCTTTGCTTCTGAAGCTTAGTTTGGCTGGATATGAAATTCTGGGTTGAAAATTCTTTCCTTTAAGGTTGAATATTGGCCCCCCATCTCTTCTGGCTTGTAGACTTTCTTCTGAGAGGTCTGTTGTTATTCTAATGGGCTTCCCTTTGTAGGTGACCTGGCGTTTCTTTCTGGTTGCACTTAACAGTTTTTCCTTCATTTTGACGTTGGAGAATCTGATGATTATGTGTCTTAGGGTTGATCTTCTCATGGAGTGTCATCTTAATGGCATTCTCTGTATTTCCTGAATTTGCATGTTGGACTGTCTTTCTAGGTTGGGGAAGTTCTCCTGGATAATATACTGAAGTGTGTTTTCCAGCTTGATTCCATCCTCCCCATCTCCTTCTGGTTGTCCAATCAATTGTAGGTTCAGTTTTTTTATGAAGTTCCATATTTCTTGGAGGCTTTGTTCATTCCTTTTCATTCTTTTTTTCTCTATTCTTGTCCGCATGTTTTATTTCAGTAAGGTGGTCTTCAAACTCTGATATCCTTTCTTCCGCTTTGTCAATTCTTCTGTTTTTACTTGTGTATGCATCACGAAGTACTCGTGCTGTGTTTTTCAGCTCCATCATGTAATTTATATTCCTCTCTAAACTGGATATTCTAGTTAGTAATTTCTCTAACCTTTTATCAAGGTTCTTAGCTTCTTTGCATTGGGTTAGAACATGCTCCTTTAGCTCATCATAGTTTTTTATTACCCATCTTCTGAAGCCTACTTCAGTCAATTCATCCATCTGATCCTCCATCCAGTTCTGTGCCCTTGATGGAAAGATGCTGCAATTATTTGGGGGAGAGGAGGCACTCTGGCCTTTTTGGTTTTCAGCATTTTTTCATTAATTCTTTTTCATCTTTGTGAGTTTGTCTAGTTTTGGTATTTGAGGCTGCTGACCTTTGGATGGGGTTTTTCTGGGGGCCTTTTTGTTTTTGTTGTTGATGCTATTTTTGTCACTTTGTCCTTGTTTGTTTTCTTTCAATAGTCAGGTCCCTCTTCCATAGGGCTGCTGCAGTTTGCCGGGGGTTCGCTTCAGGCCTTATTCATCTGATTCACTCCTGTGCCTGCAGATATGATTCAAGGAGGCTGAAGAGCAGCAAAGATGGGTGCCTGCTCCTTCTTCTGGGACCTCTGCCCTTGAGGGGGACTAAGCTGATGTTAGTAGGATCGCTCCTGTATAGGGTGTGTCTGACAACCCCGGTTGGAGGGTCTCACTCAGTTGGGTGGCACAGGAAGCAGGACCTGTTTAAGGAAGCACTTTATCCCTTGGTGGAAAGGGTGTGTTTTGCTGGGGGGAAGCCCACTTCTCTGGGCTGCCCAGAGTCTTCAGAATGACCAGGAGGAGAGGCTAAGTCTGCTGGTCCCCAGAGACTGCGGCCACCCCTCTCACTAGGGGCTCAGATCCAGGGAGCTCTGAATTCTGTCCCTGAGCCTCTGGCTGGACTTATTGGAAATCCTGTAGGAAAGCCCCACCCACTGAGGAAGGATGCCTCAGGGTTAGACCTGAAGAGGCACTCTGGCCGTATTCCACAGCAAGTGTGCTGTGCTGTGGGGCCAAGTCTTGGGACCAAGCTATCCAGTCTTCCTGGCTCCAGCAAGGGAAAAGCACAGCCTGGAGCTATGGAAATAGGTGCCGCCCTTCCCCCCGCCCAGGGAGCTTAGCATGTTAGGCATTGTAGGTCCCAGTGCTGGCTGCTGTTCCTCCCTCAAGGAGCTCAAATGGCTTAGACAGCAGGCAGCTGCAGCCAGTGCTGGTCGCCCCTCCCCCCTGGAGTTCAGTAAGCTTAAGCAGATTCCAGCTGAGAGGCTGTAAGAATCTGCACGTTCTGGGATTGGGACACTAGGCTCTGGTGGTGTGGGTTCACAAGTAGGATCTTCCGATCCGTGGGTTGCACATTTCTGTGGAAAAAGGACAGTTTACCCAGCTGGGTATCGTGCTCACTCACCACCTCTCTTGGCTCGGGGGAGGGGGTTCCCCTTCCTTGTGTCGTTCTCAGGTTGGCTGCCGCACCACACTGTTCTTTCTTCTCTCCGTGGGTCATGCCAGCCTTCTAGTCAATTTTGATGAGAGAACCTGGATACCTTGGTTGCCAGTGAAGGATTCACATGCTTATTATGTTTTTATAAGAAGCATGGCACTAGCAGCTGCATCTGGTAAAGGCCTCAGAATACTTTCAGTCATGGCAGAAGGCAAAGGGGAACCAGCATGTGCAGAGATGACATGGTAAGAGAGGAAGAAAGAGAGAGGGTGAGGAAGTACCAGGCTCTTTTTAACAACCAGCTCTTGTGGGAACTAATTCACTCACCTCTGATGGAGGGCATTACTCTATTCCTGAGGTATCCATCCCCATGACCCAGACACCTCCCATTAAGTTCCACACTGCCACATTGGGGATCAAATTTCAATGTAAGGTTCAGAGGGGACAAATATTCAAACCATAGCAGTGGCTCTGATTCTGAGGTGTGGACACATGTGGAGTGGCAGTGAAGTCAGAGTCCAGAATACAGTTGTGTAGAGTGACTATAGGACCTGGAGTGTAGGTAACTCTCAGGGACTCTGACTCTGGTGTCTGAGACATGGGCACTTACAGTGGAATCATAGAGCCAGTGGTCTGGAACATGGGTACAAGTGGAGTGGTCATGATTCTAGAGTTTGGTGGGGTTTGGGAGGTAGCATCACAATAATAATTCCTTTTTAGGGGGATCACAGCATCTCCCTCTCCAGGTTGTTCACAGTGGCAATGGCTCTTGGTGACCTCAGTGGTGAAAGTTACCAGTGTCCCTTGCAGAGAAGATTCACGGGAAACCATGTTGGCACCTGATGCATGGCTAATACTGATAGCCCCCACCATTCTAGACATCTCTAGATATCTCAGGTGTGCCATTCTTCCCAGTGATTTATTGTGTGATTATTCTGGGCATTTTGTTTATTTATTGTTTGTTTTGTTTCATTTTGTTGCATAGATTCTTTTGAACCTTTGAGCAATCCCAAGGATGTTTTTCTTGCCTTTGTAGGGAAAATAAGGCTGATGTCTCCATCTCTGTCAACTTGATGACGTCACTCCACATTAAATCTTCCTAAAGGAATTACTTACTGTTTGATTCGTAGTTCTCAGAAGCTCAAAAGTTCTAAAATAACCAAGAGTGTACACATATTTCTTGAATAAATAATTTGAGACATAATGAGACAGGTCTAATTGTCTTGAGACTGGAAATGTGTTTAGGCTAAATTATTTTTCAAATATTTAAATGTGTTACTAGAGAAGCTAAGTAGGATGTAATTTTAAAAGCTCTTCCTTAATATGTATCCAGAGAGACAGATTGGCAGGTATCCAAAGCTATTTGGTGACTCTCATGGGGCAGAACTTGTTGCTGAGATTTCTTGATTTAAATATGAGTTGAATATGCCTTCCTCCAGGAGCATTTAGTCACTTAAAAAGAAAAACTGCCTATTTTAAAGTAACTAAAATTAAATATGATTAAATAGAGATTATTAGAATTACTTGTTATACTTTGATAAACTTAAAAGACTTTATGTTTTTCAATTATACTTGTAACCATTAGTAGTAGTATTAGTGGTCTCATTTTACATGGAGATTAAATTGCAATTAGCTCATTTTCATGAAACCTGGGAAATGATTTGGTATATGGATATTTGAAAACTATTTGAAACATTAGGGGAAATCTTGGGCATTTTAATGGAACCAGAAATCCTTTAATGTTACATAAACCATGTACAAGTATCTCAAATTTTGAAACATGTTAGGATACCTGTTCACTATAGATATTTATTTTTAATTTTTTTCTTTAATTGAATCTCTTTCTTAATGATTGGAGAGATGCTTCAAATAGAATTGGATGACATTAGAAGTATTTTTTTTCTCCTGGTTACCATCTTAAAAGGGAAATAGAAACTGAAGAAAGGGGACTCCAGCTATAAAACCAAGGGAGCTGGCTTTATTATATTTTCCTCACTTTTAAAATATATTATTGATATTTCAAGCATTTAGATAGTATTCAAAAACAAAATCAAAATTTGTGTTCCACTACCAGCTTAATAAATAGTACTATGTGCAATTGAAATCTTCTGTGAATTTCTTTCTGGTAATACCCTCCTCTGCTCCCCAGAAGTAACTATGATCCTGAATTTGATATTTATATACTTCTCAATGTTTTTTATAATTTCCAGTCTAGACAAAATATAAATCTTTTTTTTTTTTTTTTTTTTTTTTGAGGCAGAGTCTCACTCTGTCACCTAGGCTGGAGTGCAATGGCATGATCTCAGCTCACTGCAACCCCCACCTCCCAGGTTCAAGCAATTCTCCTGCCTCAGCCTCCTGAGTAGCTGGGATTACAGGTGCCCGACACCATGCCCGGCTAATTTTTGTACCTTTAGTAGAGATGGGGTTTCACCATGTTGGCCAGGCTGGTCTCAAACTCCTGACCTCAGGTGATCCGCTCGCCTCGGGCTCCCAAAGTGCTGGGAAAAAATATTATTATACTATCTTGCTTGTTTTTACATGTTATGATTGGAATTGTGATGTATGAGTTCTTCTGTACATTTTCTTCCTCAACATTAAGCTTGTAGGCTCTATGTTGATACTTGTAGCTCTATTGTATTATTTCTGAGTGAATTTTTAAAAATGCTATTAAAGTGTGATATAACGTAATAAACATGGCTTTTTGTCATATGGAACTCAAATTCTGTCTTATTCCTTATATCTATGTACCTTTAAGAAAGTTATTTAAATGATCTCAGCCAGCTTTAAAAAAAATCTATAGAATAAGGTAATAGCATCTTCTTTTTTCTTCCAAATTTTATTTTAGAACCAGGGGCTACATGGACAGGTTTATTACAAAAGTATACTGCTTGATACTGAGGTTTGGAGTATGATTGAATCCATCACCCAGGTAATGAGCATGATACCTAACAGGTAGTTTTTCTGACTCCTACCCACTTCTCCCTGTCCCTCTTATATTCTCTGGTGTTTGTTGTTACCATCTTTATGTCCACGTGTACCCAATGTTTAGCTCCCACTTATAATTGAGAATATAGCATATTCTTTATAAAGTAGTCTTGGTATAATGATGTAATGGGGGTATATATTTAAACACATATATGTATGTATGTATACACACAAACATATCCACACATATATACAATAATATATTTTAGTAACATAATAACAAATATTAATTCTTTTCCATATTATAATTTTCTTTTCTATCTCTACTTTTTAAAATTAGTTGTGATTACTATAAATACTTTTTATATAACAGGGACTACTTGTTGGTATTCTGGGATATAAGAATGCAAGGAAAAAAATTTGAGAAAAAACATTCTGTTATGTCTGTGGTTCTCAGCAGCTTGATGCAGTGAAAGAGGCCTGAGCTATGAAGTCATAAATCCTGGATGTGACTTCCAGCTCATTGGTTCACGGTTGTATGACTTGACCAAATTACTTAATTTTCTTTTAGCCTGATTTTTCATTGGCAAAATGGAAATAGATGCTACTTAACTAATAAGGGCTTTGTGATGATCAAATTAAATCAGTTTAGTAAAGTACTAAACATTTTTCCAGGCTTACTGTATATGTGTAATGCAAATTAGCAATTGTATATGCAATTGTATATGTGTAATGCAAATTTACCATCAATTTATTAATATGTCAAATATTAACAGAAGTCTTTTGTATATGTTTACTTATCCACATTTCAGGGCTTTATTTTCCATCTTCTTTTCACTTTACACTTTCAAACCCTGAGTTATTTCATGGACTTCCATAGCTTAAGCAGTTCTGGACACTAACAAACCAATGTATTCAACTACAGACTCATTATCCAATAGATTATTGGAAATTTTATGTGCCTAACTCTTCATCTTCCTAGTTTACCTCTCCTTTGTTAAATCTAAAATTATTTTCTCATTATCTCACCATATTCTTGTAATACTTAGTACTACTACTCTAGTGTTTAAATATCTCTAAAATATTTTCCTCATCACCATATCCTTACATTTGCCTTGTTTAGTGCCTCATCACTTCTGGTGGATTAGAAATGATATTTTATTAAATGTATCCCTTGCCCCTGCTTATGGCATCCAGTCTATCATTCCCCTACAAAATCTGGCCATATTACTCTCTTGGTGAAATCTTGAAATATTTATATTTCTGCAGAATAGCATCAAACATCTTAACAGCGTTGAAATTGTCCTATATAATCAATATTTTAACAGTTTTTAAAAGGTCTATATAAATCAGATTCTATATAATTTTGCCGTATCACCTGATAAATTGTCCATTGCATCCAAAGTTCTCATCATAGAGAAACTTGAGTTTCTCAAAGCTTATCATGTAATGTCCTCCCTCCCTAAAAATGCATGTGTTGTTCTCTTTCCTGGAAATGCCTTCAAGCCTTTTCTTCCAACACTAAGCCTTGAGAGGAAATAAATTAATGTTTCTAAAGTCCTTACTGTATCAGAAACTGTGTTAAGTAATGTAAAGACATGGTAATAGTTGAATTTCCTAATAACTCTATGAGGTTGACAATATCTCAATTTTAGAGATGAAGAAATTGAGGCAGGATTTAAACTCTCATTGGCTGACTCCAAAAACTGTATTGTTAACAATTGTGCCCTAAATAATTTATTTAATTCCCACAAAAACCTAAAGAAAGATAGATATTTAAGTTGATTTTTACGCGATAAAACTGATGCTCTTGTAGTACAAATGGTGTATCCTAGTCATATAGTTAAATTCAGCAAAGCCTAAATTTAATATCAAATTTGACAAACATTAAAGCCCATATTGTTTCCATTATAAACCCCTGTGTCTTTAAATATCACCCCTTCCCTCAATGAATCATTTCCCAATGCTCCCATGGGTAAATGATAATGCCAATGTTTCTTCTGCTGATATGCCTCGCATAGTGGAATAAAATAAGAATAATTAACATTTATCTAGCAGTTATTTTACATATAGACACAGTTCTATGTGATTTAGTTAATTATCTAATTTAAATATCTCAATGAGTATCATAGCGACCGTGTGCATTACTCTCCAACAGTGTGGTGGCCTGTTTTCCTTATGCAAGTGTGAACACCTTGGAGGCAACAACTGACTGATACATATTTGACTTCCTAGCATCTAGTGCAATTCCTTGTGTGTAGAAGGTACACAATAAATATTTTTAATTAAATGAATGGGCTATGTTAGAGAGTGTCTATGATATTGGTAGGACACAGAGAGAAAAGTAGAAAGCATGCCTTAAATCTTAGAGAACAAATAAAATCTTCTCCCACAGTACTTATCCCTTGAACTCAGGAATGCAGAATCTTTGGTAGGATGCATTCTTTTCCTAACTTGTCATGGCATTTTTTTTTTATGTTGGAGACAAATTATGCATTTTCCAAATGACAGTAGTCAGTTAGACATCTTAATAGAGATAACAGATTTATACCCAAATTGGCTTTGATTTATACCCAAATTTTGATTTATCTTATTGACCCCATTCATATTATAGAGTTCACTCCTTATTTTACATGCACTATAAAATTCAAAATATTGGAAAGCCTCTTGATCTGCAAAGACATCACATTTGTCTAAAGTGGCCATCTCTGTTTTCCATCCATTTGGAAAGATCGTTTAAGTGTTTTTCTCAGGCATAGCCAGACTTCTGAAAAATGGAAATTGGCTCTTTATTACGACCTTGTCTTTGTTTTATGTGAGAGTACAATTGTCTACTTTTCCTCCATCATTTCCATTCAATGCTTACTTGCTGCATCTTTTCTTTGATTTCCCCAGGATTTACTATCTCCACAGTGTCCCTTGTGCCATATATTTCTCTACTTTGCTGGGTTCTAATTTTCGTCTGTTCTAGGATGATGACAATGATGATGATAATGATGAAATGCTGATGATGATGTGTGTATGTGTGTCTTTGTGTGTTTCTCATCTCTGTCTCCATCTTTAGACAATTGAATCCTGAAACTTAACCAAGCAGATGCAAAGTTGCAGTCTTTGTTTCAGAGTTGGCTATGGAGATTTGTATGTGAGAAACGATATTGGCTTTCCTTCCACTCACTGAAGAAAGAGGGACTAAGCTAATGCTCTTCCCAGCCACCTGGTTATGCACTGTTGAATCATGCCATTTTAGGAAACTGAAATTTCTAATTCTTACATTTGTAATTATCGTAGGTTTTGTCAATAATTTAGATTTCCTAAATTATTGTACTCTATATAACCTTGTACCTAATAAATTTCAAAATATTCAAATTTCTATTTATAAATAAAATGATCTTTTTATATGAAATTGATTCTATATATGATTAAATTGATAAAACTTCTGTGATTTTTCAAAAAGTCTGAGGCCTTTAAATCTTCTATTTAAGGAATAAATAATATTACTCATAGAAGAGAGAAATATTATAAAACAAAGTGTATGTAGTTTACTTGAAGTTTATTAGCTTGGTGACAATACCTGCAAATATGAAAATAGAAGCTACCCGGGGCAGAACAAAACATTGTGGCACATGGAATACATAATAGACAAAGGAATTGTATGGCCAATTTCTCAGACAGCCATTTGGAATGTTTTAGCATCTTTATCAGTCAAGTGCAACTGTCTTCTCTATGGCTCAGCAGGGATTATACTTCACATGCACTTCAACATCTCTGAAGTCTGCACCTATTGTCATCAGCACCCCTACTACCTTCAAGGGCTGATATCAACTGCTATTGATTTGTTGATGAAAATGACCATGATGACACCACCAAGGGTGAACACCTCCCTACAGCATAATTATCAATTGGCAAACTTTGGTTTAACTCTGACAGTTATCCTGTACTCTAACCCTGAGTAATGAACTTGAAGGTTTCACTTTGATTTTACAAATGATCAGGTGGAATGACATAGAAATATGAATTGTGTGTGTGTGTGCATGTATGTGAGAGAGTGTATAAAAAGAGGCTTTGGGAAGACATGACTTTAGTCATCTCAGTGACCTTAATAACATCATGTTCAGTCCACTTTTGGTGGAAAAATAAGGCTTAATTGATTTTTATATCTAAGACACTTTGAAAAATAGACAAGCATTTTATACATATATGTATTTGCTGGTTTACATGAATCTCCCATCCTAGTATTTTTGCAAATACTGTTACGACATTTTAAAATGCTACCTTTGTTTTCCCTTGATGAATATTAGCAAAATTAAATGTACATTTTGTTTTAAAGCCTGTTTTTTTTTTTCAGGCAATGAAAACAATGCTGTGTTCTTAGAAGCTTAAATTCTAAGAGCAAGAGCTCTCAGAACCACTGACACACCCAGAGTAAAGGTGCTTATGTTCCAAAATAATTAATATTGATGAACACTTGTACCCATATTGATGATTTTTAAGAGAAACTCCTTCCACATTTTTGAAATGAAAAATTAATTATTTGTAAATTAAACTTTTCTAAAAAAGGTTATTCAAATGAGTCCTGGTAAAAATCTCCATATTTTATAGCCACATATTTTCTCTTTCTTTCATTTATTTATTTATTTTCTTAATTTTCATTTAGCCTTGTTGATGTTCCAGAAATGATAGCGAAAAGCCAATTCCTTATATCTCACTTATAATGTAAAATATCAGCCTAAACTTGCAGAAAGTATATCTTTTGAATAAAAGACAGCAGATGCTGTAGCATTTCTGCCAAAGAAAGAGTCCAGTATAAACATTCTGCAGTATGCAAATGTCATCTCCTCTATGTGAATATTTTCCCCGAGTGGATGTTGCAGGGTTGGAGGCTTCTGCCTATGATTTAGGTTGTAATTTTATTTGTGGAAATAAACCAATCGTGGAGCTCCAATTGTCTTGGTGGTGAGGTGATCAATAGCCCATTACTGGATAGAACAGCGACTACAGGAAGAGCATTGAAGATTTTAATGCATGAATTATGCATGCAGCGCTCATTCTTTAGTCTCCGAACAGAATGACAGGGTTTGTGAAGTCGCCTCAGATAGTTTCTTGCATTAAGTGACTGCAGTGAAATGCTTAATATTTTCAGGCATAGAAGCAGCATTGACTCGGGCCAGCCGAATTTGGAAGATGTAAATCTCCCAGCTCACAGCACGGAATGCTTTATTTGAAAGTATTGCTATGTAGACAGCCGGCTTTTCTGTCATCTAACCTGCTCTCCCCAGGTTGGCTGAAGGATGGGAGCGGCTGTGCCTGCCTGTGAGGTCACAGCATGAAGTCCTTTTAACTTGCTTTCTGCTGCAGGAGAGAGGCGTATTGTGGTATAACTGTTGCTGTATTTATTCAAATGGACAATTTGCAATAGATATTATACCCAGGACGACAGATAAGTCAACACATAAGGTAAGTCCAAGGTTTTTTTTATAGGTTAGGTAATTGTAAACTAGAATATGCTGAGTTAGGATAATGGTGATGCGATATTAATAAGGTTGACTCAGACCTTAGTATTGCAATGCCAGCATCAGGACTCTCAATTGTTACGTTAAACGAGAGGTGACTTTCTATATTTGATAGTATTGGACCATAGGGTATTTTATCTTGCATGCAAAAGCTTTCCAAGAATGTACTAGAGCTCGAATGTGTAGAAGACTGCAAACTGGGGAGGGGCAGCAGTAGAATGAGCTGAATCAATAAGTGGAAATTACCTCCTTGTGGGGAAGTTTTAGCACGGCTGTGGCATCGCGTTGGCTCAGATTATTTCCTTAATGTCAACATTTTCAAATTCTAGTAAAAGATGTGGGTAGACACCAGAAATGCTCAATCCTTCTCCCAGAAGCAGAGGAAAGCACCGAGGTACTCAAACTCAAATACTGTGTTGCATACAAATTGAGCAGATGGAATTAAAACAATTTGGACTAGCATGTCCTTGAGGGAAGACCTTGCTGTCAAACAAACCATTTGACTTCTACCTGTGCTGGTTTGGTTTTGTTTTTCCCTCTTGTTAAGAATGCCTTACTCCAAAATGTATGGATAGATGACGTGTTGTGACATTTACCCAAAAAAGAGTTTTATTTCTTGTTTTTTTAAAAATTACCCCTATACAATTATAGGACCCACTACATAAGATCCAAATAAAATTTACAAAAACTCTGTAAAACTGAAAAACACAGTACTATACGAGTATATTTGTCAGAAGTCATTGTTAATTAAAGTTTCTTGCTTAAATATCATGGCAAATGATTAATTCCTGAACATTTCTTTAGGATGAGAAAACAGAATTAATAAATATAAAGCAAGAGACACTAGATAAGTAAAATTCTTTAAGGCTACTTTTCAATTTATATTATTAGTGAACATATATTACTAGTGAATATATATACTAGTGAATTTATATTACTAGTGAATATATATGCACACACATACATATATACTATAATTCATAGTTTATAAAACATAATATATGCACTATAATATATAGGTATATCTACTTCCTCATGTATGTTTATTAATACTGTTTTTAAAAGTGTGTTTGCTAAATCATCTATCAAGACCAAGAATAGATAAGGACAAGTATGTTTTGGGAAAAAAAAGTATCACTTTATTTTTTTTAAAAAGAAAGAAATTTAGAGTAATGATGATAATAAGAGCACAGCATAAAATGCTACATTTTATGCATTTCAATTCTGCTACAATGTTGCTATATTATTTGGATTTCCTGTTGTCCAGGTGTTGTGCACAGAACTCCCAGCATTACAGAATGGTTTAAATCTTCAAAGCTGATCTAGTTTAGGTATAAGAGGAAACTCACACCTGAAGTTTTTCCTTAGGGAGGGGAAAAAAGGAAGGAGATATTACTACCTATATATCTTAGAAGTCTCCTGATGCTGAGTCATGGTGTTCAGTTCTGCTGAAATGCCTCCTGGCTGAGGTGGCTGATTAACAGCTAATAAAATGGAATCTAGAGGAAAATGAGAAAGAATGGAGGGGGGCAGAAACTTAAAGATATTTATTGCCTAATGACACACACTAAATTCTGAGTAATAAGTAGAATGGCAGTGCTACTTGTTGGATCTGGCTGAGTTGACAGTAGGAGAATAAAAGCTCCCGTGCTGGGTGACAAGATCATAGCAGTAGAATTAATGGCCTAACAAGGGGAGAGTGTATAAACAAAGGGATTCAAGAAGCACTGCCCTTGTACTTATCTAAACCTCTCTGTCTTCTTTCTAGTCTCAACCCAAGCCATTAGCCAATCTCATTTAAAAGACATAATGTTCAGATAAAGAATAGTTTCCAGATCACGTAAGGAAAATCTAGAATAAGATGTGCTCAGTTCCTGCTTCCCACGGTGGTTATAATTAATTTTTATAGGCTATCAATTGGGAGGAACCAACAAAAAATTGATGAGAATTTTTAAATATCTTGTTTGGTATATATGAGGCACCAAAATGAGTTTAGATAGTGATTATTATGGCAACATATAATCGTATTAGATATAATTGGAAATGGAGACTGAATATATTACAAAAATATATATTAAAAAGGAAACAGGGCAAATGGAATGAGAGAGTAGTGAAACATCAAACATAAGATTTTGAAAGAAAAATGTACTTAAACTGTAGTTGATATACATTATTAGTGACTCAAAATCAATGTATAAAAAATTCTGAAGTAACAGGTTTACTAATATAAGGGTTTATAATTTCTTTAAAAATAAATTTTAAGGGTGACTTAGAGTGAGAAATAATTGACAATAATATTTTAAAGTAGAAAGGTGTAATATTTCTTTATAGGGAATAAATACTGATAGAGCTAAAATATATTTGTACTTATGTTGTAATAAATTGAAGTAGAAATCTCTCTATATATATTGAGAGAGAGGGAGAAAGTATAGTGTATATATATATATATATATATATATATATATATATATATATATACTCTTTATCTGTCTACCTAACTATCTAGTTTTCTACTTAGTAACTACTATAAGTGATCTGTAACTACCATAATCCTAAGTGGTAGTTACATATACATATACATATATATATATATATATATATATATACACACACACACACACACTATATATGAAACATATATACTATAAGTTAATATATAGTATAGTATATATATTTACAGTATATATACTATAAATATATACAATACAGTATATATACTATACATATACTATATATACTATACATATATAGTATACTATATATACTGTAAATATCTATAGTATATATACTATAAATATATACTGTAAATGTATAGTATATATATTTACTTATAGTATATACATTTACACATATAATTAAATGTATATACTATATTTACTTAGGATTGTGGTAGTTACAGATTACTTATGGATGATTAGGAGGCCTACAAGTATTTGAAAAGAGGTAATATACCCATTTTCAACAAAGCAAGCTAATATGAAAATTGAGGAAATCAGAGCTTATGTTTAGACAACAAGAAAATTTCCCATAGGGCACTTCAGTAAACAGTCCTGATGAGTTGCAAGCTTTGTGAAATTCACAGAAAACTTTTGCAAGTATGAATCTACAACAAAGAGTGATTGTTGGGAGATATCATCTTCTTTTCTCTCCTATTCGAGAAAAATGATTAAATTGGTTCCCCCTCAAAATGTTTTCCCTGAGTAATTAACATATGAAACATCTTTCTTTCAGATATGCTCTTAAGGGTTGACTCTGAGGAGTGCCTCAGTTTAATATAGCTTTATGGATGCTTCACCAATTTATTCCCTCTTATTGTAAATATACCTTTTACTCCATTTTCATTGTTCATCAATCTCTTTCTTCTCACAAGACAACTCAGTGCAATAAGGAAGCATTTATTGAGAATCCTCTTGTTTGGTTTTGCTAGGTACTCTGGTTTTGTAGATGCAAAAGATGAAGGGCCTGTGCTTTCAATGGGAACAAACAAGTCAAATGCAGGGGGAAAAAGATAAAACATAGGAGCACCCAAAAATATTTGGTAAAACGTTCTACTGTCATAGGAGAAATGAGGAATTATGCACAACATTTTTTAAATGGCACCTGGAGGAAGAATATGTATAAAAGTATGGAGGCTAAAATTAATAGTATATATTTTAATGTTGGTACTGAAACAGAGGGATTGGATGGGTGGTGTAGTTGAGAATAAACAAGGTGGGGCAGGTTATTAGGAACTTAGCCACCAGAATAACATGTTTAGACTTGACTTAATAGGCAGTGAACACCCACAGACATTGTTTAATCTCACTGGAGGCATTTAATGATAAAGAAGTATCTGACTCCTGAATCAGATAAATTCTCAGCATTTCTTTTTAATGGCTGCTAATTCTAAATTAAATAGTCATGCACCACATAAATATTTTTTGATTGCATATTTGACAGTGGTCCCATGAGATTATAATGGAGCAGAAAATTTCCTGTTGCGTAGTGATATGGTAGCCCTTGTAATGACATAGAGCAACACATTACCTTTTTTCTATGTTTAGATACACAAATACTTACCATTGTGTTATACTTGCCTACAGTATTCAGTACGGTAACATGCTGTTCATGTTTGCAGCCGAGGAACAATAGGCTATGCCATATAGCCTACGTATGAAGTAGGCTAGACCATCTAGGTTTGCGTTAAGTACACTTCGTGATGTTCCCACAGTCAAAATCACCTAACTGCTCATTTCTCAGAATGTATCCTCATAGTTAAGTGATGCATAACTGTATTGTATTAACCATGTCTTTTATTTTCTGAATTCTGATACTTTAGCTTTGCAGACCCTGGAAGGACCACCCTTCCTAGGTGTTAGCTGATTACTGGAGTTAGTATACAACTTGCCCCTGAGTACATTTTTCAAATGCAAACCAACCAATCCAGAGCCCCACTACTACAACCACCTTCCTTATCTGGGCTCTCACACTCTGGGCCACTATCCACTTGGCTAATCACCCCGGGGACACATACCAGACAAGTGACAAATGAAATTTTTCAAACTAGCCAATCCTAAGCACTTACCTGCTCCTGTTCGTTCTGGTGAAAACCACACAGTTCCCCCTCTCTCCCTCTGCCTCCTGACCAGCCCCAGTTCTTCTCCATGTTGCTCCTTGTGGTGTGCTGTGCTCTCTGCTCTGGTGATCTGTGGGTTTAACAAGTTATCTTTTTTTTTTGAGATGGAGTTTCATTCTGTCGCCCAGGCTGGAGTCCAGTGGCGCAGTCTCGGCTCACGGCAACCTCCTGGAGTGCAATGGTGCAATCTCGGCTCACTGCAACCTCCACCTCCCAAGTTCAAGCGACTCTTCTGCCTCGGCCTCCCGAGTAGCTGGGATTACAGGCATGTGCCTCCACATCTGGCTAATTTTTGTATTTTTTAGTAGAGACAGGGTTTCACCATGTTGGCCAGGCTGGTCTTGAACTCCTGGCCTCAGATGATCTGCCCACCCCAGCCTCCCAAAGTGCTGAGATTACAGGCGTGAGGCACTGCACCTGGCCAACAAGTTGTCTTTTCAATGACAGTTGTCTCCAGATCTGTTGTCTTTAACAAACCTAAATAATAAAACCTACATTAAAATAAACATTTAAAAATTTTCTAAATTTTAATACAAACTAACATAAATAGAAATATTATATTCCCAGGACATGAAATAAATTAGCCAAGTCTTTTTTCTTAAAAAAAAAAATCATTACCTTTTTACTAAACTGTTATCTTATTTTGAATTTAAGGATCAATTCTGAATGAATCTCCTATAAAAATAAGCTTAACTATTTTCCAAGTTGTGGTTGATAAAGGGAGGGTATATCCTCTAGAAATGTGAATGGGCAATTAGAAGTTTTCAGTCTTATGTCAAGATACATAAGTCTAAAGTTTTAAATATTTTCCTGAGATTGCTTTAATTTGTAGTATGTCATATCTACTGCATGGAAACAAGCATTTACTTTGTCAAACAACTAAATCAATGCTGAGGGAAAATGCTATCTTTATACTTGAATATAGAAATTTTGAAACTGTAACTACCAAATGCTAGTTTTGTTTACATAATGTCTTTAATATCTGATGAGGAACTACACTACACATCCTAACAAAAATAAATTCTGTTACATTAAGCCACAAAATTGAATTGAATTGCACTCTCTTGAGAACAGTGTCCAAGGAGAGATTGTTAATCAGTGAATGCAAAACTTTAGAACAATGAACCAAATGCAATTAAGCAGAAGACTAACAAGAATCATACCACACAGAAAACCGTGCTTTGAAGAATATGTATCACAAGATCGTATCTTTTGGTGGTGCACTCCATTATTTTAAAACACCATCACTGAAAGAAGAGAACAGTAAACGATTTTAAGAGGTAGAATAATTCAAATATTAAATGCATGTTTGATTTTTACGGCCATTAACTGCCCTTTCACCCGTTCTGCTCCTAGATTGCATTATAAGTTATTACTGTAATCGTAATAGCCCTTTGAGAAATAAACTTTTGAAAAACTCAAGTGGCAAATTGATGGCTTAGGTTGGGAATAGGTTAGAAAAGATACTAGTCATGATAGCAGATGGAAGGGCAGCAAGGTAGGTGGCTGGGAGGGAATCTGGAGGCGGAGCTGTGCCAGAAAGAACATAGGAATTTAAACAGATGGAAGATGATATATCAGTTGGCAGGGAGAGCCGCTGGGTGACAAGCAGACGAATCTATTGAAGAACTGGGTGGATAGGCAGCCAATAAGTGAATTAGATGAACCAGTAATAAAAGAAATAGATCAGTATGAGGGCATCCAAGCTCCAGAACAAATCGACAAGAACAATAGAAAACAACTACAATTGTCCCTTTGCTTGAACCTGAGGAAACGACTTTTATTGTAATCTTTTAAAGTGCTTAGAAGTGATGATGAATAAATGATGATAAATAAGATGATGATCATCTTCTATAGAAGGAAAATTTTAGTATAAAATTTAAAGATGCTTACCACTAAATAAATATATTCTATAAAATTATTATGAGCATACAATTTATTTTATGTCCTAGTTTTGGGTTTCCTATAAATTGAGTTCTGGCCCTGGCTTGGTTAATGTATGAGGCTACGGGGACCTGGCTGGAAAATAATACTGATGCATAGTAAAAGTGGAGAATAAGAACTTTAATTCCTTTCAAAAAAGAGAATTTACCAGACTATGGCAAATGTGAATATGATATTATCTTTATAAAAATAGCTTATGTTGTTTTTGTCTATTAAAAATGATAATAGCAGTGTCTCAATGAGGATAAAGAAGACCATTACAAGTCATTTGGTCTCTCTTCTGCCTTCAGACTTACCTACCCTTAAATCACCATATTCTTAGGCAATTATTCATACTTGCAAGCACTTAGTATAATTGTGTAGTGCAGTTTTGCACTTTTTAAATGACAGCTGTCATTATGGGTTGATAGAAAGTACCATACCCAGGAATATTTGTAGGAAGGACTTGGCTTAATAGGACCATTCTGATTGACCTTCAGATAATTACATGGTTTCTTAGCAGAGAAGATACTTCAATTTGCCACATTATAAGCTTAAAATTCACATTCTTTTTATTCTTCCATCTAACCTATAAACTTATTTTTCTGGTACTGTCAACTATGTTTCTCAGGCCAGTCTATTACTTTCTATTTTACTAGCCAAAGCCCATATGCCATTATGCCTGAAACTGTGTTGTTTTACTGCCAATATGATCATTTCTAAAATATCTGTATTCCCATCAATCCCACACACAGAATCAGGGATCATTTATCTCAAGGGTTGTCTGAGTTATATGAATATTCTTTTCAAGTGAATTTTTTTTAGCTGACACTTTAATCTCTTGAATTAAACTTCTGAGCCCAGGCTAGTAGCAGTGTCTTCCGAAATTCTAAATGCTATTTATACACACACACACACACACACACACACACACACACACACACAAGTTGGAGCAATTTCCTAAAGAACCAGATGAGGCAAATTCTACACATATGCCAGGCACTAGGCCAGACACTGAGGGATACAAGGATAAATAAGATATGAACCTTTTCATCAGAGTTTATATTTTGGTGGATGAACAGGTATATATATGTGTGTGTGTGTGTGTGTGTGTATATATGTATGCATATATATATACACATGTATGCATATATATGTATATGTATACAGGTGTATATATACGTACATATACAGGTATATATATACGTACATATACAGGTATATATATACGTACATATACAGGTATATACACATATATGATAATATATAATCGTATATATGTGTATATATAGTATATATGTATAAATAATATATATGTATATATTGTATATATGAATACATAATCATATATGTATATATTATAATACATATAATATGTATGTATATATAACACATATATGTGTATATATATATAAAATCAGATACTATGGTACACTTTAATAGATGCAATGATATTATATTCATGTAATATATGTGTATATCATCCTCCATAATTGTAAATCTCTTGAGGTTAGGGAACACACTAATTTATTAATTAGTAAATATTTATTAAGCCTCTTTTATGTACAATGGTTATGCAAAGGGAAGATTTTTCCCTGTTGCCATGGGCAAAACAGTCTATTGAAAAAGGGAAAAGAAAGGAGCAAACTTTCTGTGAAATATGATGGTACACAGTATGTACAATAAGTGCATATAAATTGGGCTCTAACCAAAATCAGGAGAGGACATCAAGGATAACTTCCTCAATGAAGAAATCAAAGGATACATAGGATAGTTTTTAAACTATTTAAGTATTTGTATAATGGTTAATTCATTGTTGTTATAAAATAATGGTGTTGACTGTAAACTTCAGATGTTCAGACTAAAAAAGATACATGTATTTAATGAACACAATTTGAAAGGAAGCCAACTATGTGTTTGGTGTTGAGATAATTATTTAAGTATTAGCTCACTTAATCCTCTCCAGAACACTATGATATCCTCACTTTTAAGTTGGATGTTACGCTATTACTAAAACTCTTCAGCTCAGGATTAGGAGATTAAAGTTTCTCTTCCATATCACCATAATTTTGCTAAATTTTCTTGGCACTTTGCAGAAATTTTAAATGTCAATGCATTTATATATTCAGTGATATTTCGGAACCCCTATATTCATTAGATTGTTCATCTCCCTTTCCTTTTAACTAAAATATATATAATGGGGCCAGTACAATGTTGCATGTTAATTTTTATTCAGATGCTATTGATTAGGAGATTGGAGTGGGGCCTCAAGATGGCTGACTAGAAAGAAGCCTTTCATGCCCACCTCCTCCATTTTAAAAACCAAAATAGTGTATAGACAGTCACATATTGAATATATTACCTGAGAGACGGTGGTGGAATTCAATAAGGAAGTGACAAAAACACCAAAAGCAGGAAGGAGAAGGGAGAGAGAGACAGTCTGCCTGCCCAGAATCAGCTGGAAGCTGGGAGTGACTTCCCAGCCCAGGGATTAGGTGAGCAAGACACATCCAATGGCCCACATCACTATCATGGAATTATGCAGTCCTGACTATAGGAGAACCCCTTATTATTCTCAACCCCTGAAACTATCATAGGGAGTTGCCAATAGACTGCAGAAAGAAGGAACTGCTCCAGGGAGGGAGCTTGCACTGGGTCCCACACCCTTTCTGAGACCTAAGTGGCTACAGCAAGGTGCCATTTTTAAACCTAGCTTTTGACAGGCTTTCTGTTGTCCTGGGGTGCAGCAGCGTTGAGTCTGAGGTGTTAGGGAAACTTGGGCTGTCCCTGATGGGACTGAGGAGCAAGCCGAGAATGTTCCTACAGCCAAGGCTAAGAAGCAAGTGAGGTGTGGGCTGTAGCGGCCACTGCCAGGAAGCAAGCACTGCTAGGACAGAGACTGAGACACAAGCAGGATGCAAGTTGACACTGAGACATGGATGCCAGCTGGGTGGACACTCCTGTAGCCAGGGCTAGGGCCTGAGCTAGGCTCAGGCTACCACTGGTAGTGGTGGAGTATGAGACAGACCTGTGTTTTCTACCAGCTATGGCCACTGAGGATAACCCCACCCTCTCCAATGGCAGGGTCTCAGTATCGCTGCTACTGCTTCTCCCCGGAGCATTGCACCTGGCACCTGAGGATTACCCTACCCCACCCACAATGGTTGGTGCTTGCTTTCCCCACTCGGGGTACTGAGCAAAAGGCCACCCAGCCCGGCATTGCATCTGCAAGACAGAGCACGTAGCCTGTGGCCTTGGGGATGGCCCAACCCAATTTACCACTCTGGAACCAGAGCACTCCTACTAGCATCCTGAAGTTGGCTCTAAACTCCCAGCCACTACCACTTCAGCTGGCACTTATCTGCAAGTGCCATCTGTGAGCCTGGAAATGGGCCCGCCTAGCCCATTGCTGCTACCACCAACATCAACACACACCAACTGAGACCCAAATAATTTTTCTGCCATTGCTATTGCCATCCTCCATGCCACACCAGCTACCCAATGTCCAAGTATCTGAACACCCACTTGGCCTACTGCTGCCACTACTGGAATCTGAGCAAGACATCTGGAGTTTCAAGAGTCAGCCCTCCAGTAACTGCAAACAAAAGTACCTGTGTATATCACCCAGTGGAACAAAAATAGGCAAACTCAACCCACTGCTGCCAGCACTGTGGCCTGAACACTGGCCCACCTGATATCCTAGTACCCAGCATAACTTCACCACAGCCTCCACTAATAACCATACCCTAACCCACCAAAAAATGACAGGCATCACTAATGCTGTATGTAGCAAAAGAAATTATACAGAGACACACTTAGAATCAAAGTCAAAGTACCCTACCCGAACAACTCCATAGAAATATCCTTAGGAAAAGTTCTCCCCTACACAAGTAAATTCAAAAATAGGAAGAAGCAACAGTTACACCATATGTGCAGATATCAATGCAAGGATACATGAAGCATGAAAAAACAAGGAAATGTGACACCGCCAGAGGAACACTGTAATTCTCTAGTAATAGATCTTAATCGAAACAAAATGCAACATTTCAGGCAAAGAATTCAAAATATTTATTTTTCAAACACTCAGTGAAACACAAGAGAAGTCTGAAAATGATACAAAGAAATCAGAAAAAACAATCCAGGATATGAATGAGAAATTTACCAAAGATATTTTTTTCCTTAAGAAAAAACAAATAGAAATTCTGGAACTGAGGTACTTTTTGAAGGAAAAACAAAATACATTTGAAAGTATCAAAACTGGAAGCTAGATCAGGCAGAAGAAATAATCTCAGAATTTGAAGATAGGTCTTTTGAAATAATGCAGTCAGACAAAAATATAGAAAAAAAACTTAAAAAGAATGAGCAAAGCCATTTTGACATTTGAGACAACATAAAACCATTGGATAGTCAAGTTACTGATATCTCCAAGGGTGAAGAAACAACAACAAAAAGATTAGAAACTGTTTAACGAAATGATAGATGAAAATTTCCCAAATCTAGCAAAAGATTTAGACATTCAGATAAAAGAGGCTTAGCAATCCCCAGGTTGATAAAATACAAATGTGTCTCCATGGCACATTATAGTATGACTGTCTAAAGCTATAGATAAAAAGCCAATCCTAAAAACAGCAAGAGAAAATATCTAGTCATCTATAAAGGGAACCCCATTAGATTAAAAGCAGATTTGTCAGTTGAACACTTACAGGCCAGAAGAGAATTGGATGATCTACTCAGTGCTGAAAAAATGTCAGTCAAAAATGCTATATCCAGCAAAATTATCCTTCATTAATGACGTAGAAATAAAGTCTTTCCTAGTCAAGCAAATGCTGAGGGAATCCATAACCACTAGACCAGTCCTACAAGAAATGCTCGTCCTAAACCAGAAAGCAAAAGAACAACATTCACCAGCATGAAAACAAGTAAAAGTGTAAAATCACTGGTTAAAATAATAATACAAAGGAGGAAGAGATAAAACTCAAACAGTGCCACTGCAGAAATCCACCAAACAACAAAGAGTATCAATAAGAGAAAAAGAAAAGGACAAGGAATATATACAACAACCAGAAAACAACAATATGACAGGAACAAAGCCTCACGTATCAATAATAATCTTAAATATAAATGAACTAAATTCTCCACTTAAAAGTTATAGACTGGCTGAATAGATTAGAAAACATGAACCAACTTTTGCTACTAATAAGAAACTCACCTTACCAGTGAAGACACATATAGACTGAAAGTAAAGGAATGGAAAAAGATATTCCACATAAAAGGAAACCAAAAGCAAGCAGGAATAGCTACATTTATATCAGGTAAAATGGACTTTAAGTGAAAAGCAGTTTAAAAAAAGACAAAAGTCATTATATAATCATAAAGGAATGAATTCAGTAAGAGAATATAACAATTCTATATATACATGTACTCAACACTGGAGTACCCAGATTTATAAAGAAAATATTACTAGATCTAAAGAGAGAGAGGCTATAAAGAATAATAGTGAGAGACTTTAACACCCCACTCTCAGCATTAGGCAGATTATCTAGACAGAAAATCAGCAAAGAAACATTGGATTTAAACTAGTCTTTAGTCCAAATGGACATAATAGACATTTACACAACATTCTATCCAGCGATGGCAGAATATACATTCCTATCATAAGCATGTGGAAAATTCTCCAGGATAGATCATATGTGAGACAGCAAAACAAGTCTCATCAATTTTTTTTAAAAATTGAAATTATATCAAGTATCTTCTCAGACCACAATGGAATAAAACTAGAAATCAATACCAAGAGGAACACTGAAAAGTAAACAACAAGCTCCTGCATTAACATTGAGCCAATGAAGAAATTAAGATGAAAATAAAAAGGTTTCGAAACAAATGAAAATAAAGACAGAGCATACCAAAACCTATAGGGTACAGCAAAAGCAATGCAAAGAGAGAATTTTATAGCAATAAATGCCAACATCAAAAAAGCAGAAAAATTCACAATCTAAAGGAACTAGAAAAACAAGAACAAACCAAATTCAAAATTAGCAGATGAAAAAAAATAAAAATGAGACCAGAACTAAATGAAATAGAGACTAAATAAACAATACAAAGGATCAGTAAAACAAAAAGTTGGTTATTCAAAAATATAAACAAAATGGATAAACCTGCAGCTAAACTAATCAAGCAGAAAGACCTAAATAAACAAACTAAGAAATAAAAAAGGATATATTACAACAGATACCACAGAAATACAGAAGATCATCAGAGAACTATTATGACCAACTATACACTGAAAAACTGGAAATGGATAAATTCCTAGAAACATACAACCTACCAAGGTTAAATCAGGAGGTAGAAAACCTAAACAGACCAATAACAAGTAGCAAGAGTGAATCAGTAATAAAAAGTCTCTCAACATAGAAAAACCCTGTATCAGATGGAATCACAGTTGAATTCAATCATACATACAAAGAAGAACTAATAACTACCTTCCTGAAACCATTCCAACAAATTGAAGATGAGAGTATTCTCCCTATCTCATTTTATGAGGCCAGCATCAACCCGACACCAAAACCAGACAAGAACACAACAAAACAAGAAATCCCTAATATGTCTAAGGAACATGGACACAAAAATCTGCAACAAAACACTAGCAAAATAAATCCAATAACATAACAAAAAGATAATACACCTTGATCAAGTGGCATTTATACCAGGTATGCAAGGATTGTTCAACATATGCAATTCTATAAAGGTGATACATTACATTAATGGAATTGGGGACAAAAACCATATGATATTCCAATAGATGCAGAAAAAAAATTTGACAAAATTTAATATCCCTTTATGACAACAACTCTCAACAAACTAGGTATAGAAGGAATGTACCTCAACATAATAAAGGCCGTATAGGACAAACGCATAGCTAACCTCATACTCAAAGGGGAAACGCAGAAAGCCTTTTCCTTAAGAACTAGAAGAAGACAAGGATGCCAGCTGTCATCACTCCTATTCCACATAGGATTGATACCTAAATGTCCTGACTTGATCACTGTGCATTATAAACATGTAATAAAAGTATTCATTGCCCCATAAATTTATACAAATTTTTTTTAAAAAAAGAAATAAATAAAAAGATATTTTTAATTAGGAGAAAGTCAAATATAATTTGAAAAATAAGCCACTCATAAACCCTAATCTAAGTTAAGTTAAAAAGGTCACTTTGCTTGAGTATGGAAAATGTGACTGGCAAATACAGAATAAAGTGCCATTTGAGGAAATACGTACATTTTACAAGATGTTTGTTGCATGTACCCTGCTGAAATATCAGTGAGTATCTTGATGAACAAGTTTTCAATAAATTTATATTAATTAGCTTGTTATTGGTTCCTCTAAAATATGTATTGTTAATAGCAGGTAGAAGGAATAAGTTCAGTGTTCAATAATAAAATAGGAAATTGTAGTTAACAATAATTTACGGTATACTTCAAAATAGCTAGAAGAGAAGAATTGCTATGTTCCCAACACGAAAGAAAACATAAATGTTTGAGGTGATGGGTATCCCAATTATCCTGATTTGATCATCACACATTGTATATAGGCATCAAATTATCACATGTACCCCCATAATATATATAACTTATGTATCAATAATCATTGTAAAAGAAAAAATAATAATTTTTAGTTTCCCTGAGGAGATGCTTTAGACACTTTTGCTTCCTTCCTATCTCTGTCAAGCAAAACTAAATATTAAGTAGTAGAGTCTTCTGTGTAAGATTGAAGATTATGGAGGGCAACAATCTGCTTTGTTCATCTTTGTATTCCTAGTGTCTAGCACAGTGCCTTGAACATAGTAGATGTTCAATAAATGTATGTTGAATAAAAGAGCACATGAATTATTAATATGAATACATTATTATTTGTCACACCATCCAATTAATAGACTTTTAGGGATTTGTTATGTTTAATGTACATATCCAATGTAAGATGAATTCTGTAGTAGTCGATCTTGTTTTTTAATGACGAAAATGTGTCTCAAACTAACGTAGGCAAAAGGGGGATTTTATGCAATGATATAATACCACATACCTGAAGGCTGTATAAGCAAATGCTATGAAGGATGGAGTCAAGGTGTAGCTGGACCTAAAGTATACCTTAACTAGAGACATCCAGAATCAACACTGTCAGCTTCTCTGAATACGGGCTTCATTTCCAATGAAAACTAACTCCTTTATGCCTTAGAAAACATACCTGATCCTAAGTCTAGGTATTTTCATATCTTGCAGCACTTCCAATCCCCCTCCTACCAGTAAGTATGTTTTTGTGATAGTTTTTACAAATATTATGTTGTAAATGGCCAGTTCAGGTGATAAAGCATAAATATTTTGTTGACATATTGATTGGAAAATTAATGGGAAAACATTAGGTTGAAAACTTGAACAGATATTCTGTTCAATAAAAGTTCTTTGAATATTTTAATAAAAAAGAAATTGTGGCTTATGCTGAAGTTAATGAATATTAGGGATAAAAGTAATTAAAATATTTTAAATTATTTTAAGTAATATTTGCCATCTTTTCAGACTCCATGGAAACAATATTCTGCTTATCTCTCCATATCCCCAACATTTGGCACATTGCCTGGTGTATTGTAAATTGTTGGTTTACATTTGTTATTAATATATTGATAATAAGGTCTTCTCGGCTCACATATGAATGGACTACAATTAGGCAGTTGTGATAAGAAAGTATGTACAAAACTAGCAAATGCATCCCATATTGTGACCCACTCATACTTAAAGGGCAAATTATATAATACAAATTGTTTAGAGATAAATGCCCTGCAAGATAAGCAAGGATCTAGACCAAAAAGAATATGTCTGGTTGGGCCTGGTTTGTATCATATTCTTAAAAATAGCCTGAAATAGTACATCGTTTCTTTGGAATTCATTGAAGATGTTAAATACGTGGGAAATCCTTGAGAGGAGTAGAACTAAGTAGAAATAATAATAAAGATTTTGAGAGAAGTGGTTATTTCTGCCAAATTAGCTAGAAGAACAAGAACATGGCTAAATATTTTCACATAGATATATTTGGATGAGACTTTTGCAGGAGTGCGTGAATGCCAATATTGTTAATTTTGTAATAAATGCCATATTTTATTGAAAAAATTCTTTGGCACAATGATTTTTTTTTTTTTTTTGAGACGGAGTCTCACTGTGTCGCCCAGGCTGGAGTGCAGTGGCACGATCTCAGCTCACCGCAACCTCCGCCTCCAGGGTTCAAGCGATTCTTCTGCCTCAGGCTCCCGAGTAGCTGGGTCTACAGGCATGCGCCACCATGCCCAGCTAATTTTTGTATTTTTAGTAGAGACGGGGTTTCACCGTATTGGCCAAGCTGGTCTCGGACTCCTGACCCCACGATACACCCGCCTCGGCCTCCCAAAGTGCTGGGATTACAGGCATGAGCCACCACGCCTGGCCACAATGATTTTTTGAAGTTATTGAATGCAAGCAAAATCACAAATATTGTTTTTTTGTGTGTGTTCTTTACTGAAAGTAGAATGTAGCCCTCACCTATGAAAATATGAATGCCTTTAAGCAAAGCCTTCCCTTAATTTAAATTGAACCTAAAAAAATGCTTCTTGCAGTAGTGAAAAAAATATTTTTGGTAATCTAAGAGTGATATTATTTAGAATTTCCCTCTCTAATCCTTCACCAAGAATAAAATGAAATCTTAGAAACGGAAGAAGTCTTATAAAGATTGTGACTAACCCTTTAGTTTTTACAGGTAGAAACTGAATTTCTCATGATTGATTCTTGCTGTCTAAGGACCTACTATTTATGCATACCCATGCAATGAAAACTAAGTTTAAAAGCATAAATAGTTAAAAGTGTAATAATAATTGAAAATTGCAGTAACGTTTTTCTTAATTGTATAATTATTGATTCAAGTTTAATGTTCTTTATGTGAATTACATTTTTAGTTTGAGGGAAAATATTTTTTAATGAATTGTTTTTGCTTTGCTAAGTGATCTATTTCAAGAAACAGTCTTTCTCCAGAAAATAAAGGAAATTTCAATGAAAGAAAAAGCACTCTTCTGTTATTCCAAACATGTATATTTCTTAGATCTTAACCACGGAAGAGTAATGTTGAAAGAAAATCATTCATGAGCATTGATTAGGAAATTGGTGCCCATTGAGATATGCTCAGCATCAATATAAACGTAATTTTTCTTTAAAAGAGCTAGTTGTATGTCAGTTGACTTGCTGAAAATGCTTCGGTTATATTATTAAAAACAGAAATTTCAGTGGCTTTTAACTTAGGAATAAACAAGAGTAAAGGTGAGAAACTTGAAATGCAAGTTTATCAATCTCCCTTTGTCATATAGAAAATTGATTAGAATTGTTAGCCCAGTAAAGTGCAGATATATAATAGATACTAAATGTAGAAAAACTAAGAACATAATATTGGCTACAAATTAGACAATGCAAGAAGAATGAACACAGGTTAATTTAACTTGTTAGTCTCAAATATATATTATCACCTGTTTCACAGCAAAATTATACTATTTATTGTGTTTTATTGACAGAACAGAGTACCAAGTAAAAGAAGAACTATTAGACTATTAAAAAATAAAAAATGCCATCACATCTGAATTTATGTTAATGAGATGGTGTTGAATAAAGCTCCTAGATAGCCTCAAGATGGGGCTAGTCACCAGAAAGACCAAATAATTAGAGAGCTGGAAATTTCATTTCCACCCGCCAGCCTCTGGAGATGAGAGGAGGGCTGGAGAGTGAGTTATATAAACTTTTCACCAATGAGATTCAGGGAGCATCCCACTTGGTGAGCACACTGGGGTATGGGGAGCGTGGTGCACCCAGAGAGGGCACAGAAGCTCTGCACCACTCCCCAACCCCCATAACTTGCCCTATGTATCTCTTCTATTTGTTCCCGAATTGTAGCCTTTATAATAAACCAGTAAATGTAAAGAAAGTGTCAAAAACAATAAAAAATGAATATTAGTGGAATGGAAATTAAATATTCCCCATTAACAGTAAAAAATGATTACCGACAGATTGAGTTGGGGAATGTGAATTACATAGTGACTTTCGAGTGTGATCTAAAATGAATTCAGCAAACAGATCTATGGGAAATAATCAGTTTATAGGTGATAAAAAATTACTTCAGCAATAACACTGCGGAGGAAGTTAGAAAAACAGTAAACTCATACAGATAATTGATACAAAAAGGACAGAGCAAATTCTCCAGTAATTAATAAATAAATGGCAGGGATTGGGGTGAGGGTAAAAAAAAAATGGCTCACGCCTGTAATCCCAGCACTTTGGAAGGCTGAGGCGGGTGGATCATGAGGTCAGGAGACCATCCTGCCTAACACGGTGAAACCCCGTCTCTACTAAAAATACAAAAAATTAGCAGGGCATGGTGGCGGGCGCCTGCAGTCCCAGCTATTCGGGAGGCTGAGGCAGGAGAATGGCGTGAATCCCGGGGGCGGAGCCTGCAGTGAGCCGAGATTGCGCCACTGCACTCCAGCCTGGACAACAGCGAAACTCCGTCTCAGAAAAGAATAAGAACTCAAATGCTTCCATGAAGTCCTGGCAGCATTTTCATTGCTCCCATGTGTCGTCACTCCACATAGCAGTAGAAAAGCTTCACCAGAGTCAAGTCTCCACCACAACAATGCTCCTGCTCATTCATCTCATCAAACTAAGGAGACTTTGGGAGAGTTTCAATCAGAAATGTATAGGCATCCTCATTACAGTCTTTTTCTTTCTAATTTAAATTTTTGTTGTTGTTGCTGCTGAGGCAGAGTCTCTCTTTGTCACCCAGGCTGGAGTGCAGTGGCACATTCTCAGCTCACCAAAACCTCCATCTCCTGGGTTCAACTGATTCTCCTGCCTCAGGCTCCCGAGTAGCTGAGAGTACAGAAACATGCTACCATGCCCAGTTATTTTTTTTTATTATTTTTATTTTTTTCTGAGATGGAGTCTCACTCTGTCGCCCAGGCTGGAGTGCAGTGGTGCGATCTCGGCTCACTGCATCCTCCGCCTCCCAGGTTCAAATGATTCTCCTGCCTCCACCTCCTGAGTAGCTGGGGTTACGGGCGTGTGCCACCACGCCCGGCTAAATTTTGTATTTTTAGTAGAGACGGGGTTTCCCTATATTGGCCAGGCTGGTCTCGAACTCCTGACTTCGTGATCCACCCACCTCGGCCTCCCAAAGTGCTGGGATGACAGGCGTGAGCGACTGTGCCTGGCCCTCCTTATAGTCTTGATTTGGCTACTTCTGCTTCCTTTTTGTTTTCTAATCTTAAGCAATCTTTAAAGGGCACCCATTTTTCTTCAATTAATAACGTAAAAAAGACTGCATTTACCTGGTTAACTTCCAGGGATCCTTAGTTTTTTAGGGATGGACTAAATGGCTGGTCTCATGGCTTATTAAAGTATCTTAAACTTGATGAATAAAGTTTATATTTTTTATTTTTATCTTTTAATTATATTTTTCCACAAACTTTTTGAAGTCCCCTTGTATTTCAATTGCAATTTCTGTAGCAAAGTACTTCAAATCAGCCAAAACTTTTTTTTTGTTTTAACGTTTATATTTCAGGGGAAAAAAACTGAATTCACTAATGGTTGCTCTTAATTTGTGTTACTTTCAAATGTTGTGTTCACTATTTATGCAAATTAAAACTGTAAACTGAAATTTTAATTTTATTAGTTTCATGGAAAAGTTTAGAAAGCAGTGGATTTATAATGTGAATAGCAATTACAATTATATTTTACTAGTTATATCCCAGGCACATTCTTGAATAAGAAGTTGAATTACAGCCTGAAGGAGTGGGCTGTCCCTCTCCTGTTGGGGATCCTCCACTGGGAATCAGTGGCCCCCAACCGTTTTGGCACCAGGGACAGGTTTCATGCAAAACAGTTTTTCCACGGATGGGGTGAGGATGGTTTTGGGATGAAACTGTTCCACCTCAGATCATAAGGCATTAGATTCTCATAAGAAGCGCACAATCTAGATCCTTTGCATCACTTGCACGGGCAGTTCACAATAGAGTTTGCGCTCCTGTGAGAATCTAATGCTGCCACTGATCTGACAGGAGCTCAGGCAGCAATGCTTGCCTGCACTCTGCTCACCTCCTGCTGTGCGGCCCCCTTCCTAACAGGCCACAGACCCATACCACTCGGCAGCCTGGGGTTTCGGGACCCCTGTTCTAGAGTTTCTAAACTCTACAAATATTTTTTCTAGGAATAGTCAGCTTTATGCCTTGACAGAATGGATTCTCCAGGCTGTGATTTGACATCAGAATTCATATAAGGATTCATGTATAAAGAACGCATCTGATACTCTTCTCTACTTCCCTTTAAATTACTATTTCCCCCAATTTCATTTATATTAAGTCAAAATTCCTATAGTGTTTAATGTTAGCAAAAATGGTACTGTGCTCTAGGCTAGATTATTAATTCCTTTCATATTGTTACCTCATTTATTATTGTGTTGAAAGCTTTATTGACTATGTAAGCTGTCACAATTTTTTTGGAAGTATTAGTGTTTATATAATGAAAAATTAAGTAGGTGAATAATGTATGAGTTAGCATCTAGCCCCTCACTTGTTTTGAATGAGTCAAGAGATTCAGATACTATTTTGAAAGTTATAATAAACAGTAATATGACCACATTCAGTTCTCTTTTAAAACGATATAGATGTAATAAAATGAAGGAAGGATATTTCGAAAATGCTCTTTTGATTTTTTTTCAAGTCCTTTCAAGGATGCATGTCACATGTCTGGTTCCTAGCAAAGGTACTTGGTCTTTAGGTCTTCTCAAAGTTGTAAGTCCTACTGAAGTTGTACTGTACTGAGTTATACATGATGGTTTTATATTATAGTTCAGACACTCTAGGGCACCAGGTGTGTTTTTTTTTTTTTTTTTCCAGTAACAGTAGGGACTGGTTATAAAGGAGAAAAATCACTTCTTTCCCTATGGATTAATTGCCCTCTTAAATAAAATAATCAAATACAGTATAAGAATATAATGTAATCATATTTGTGATAGATCCAAATTACTAAGGTAATGAACTATCAAAAGAAAACATTCCTGTGGAGTTAAAAGGATCAATAAATATTAGTGTGGTTGTACCATCAAACACTGGACTAAGAACCGAAGAACCTGAATTTAGTCCCTTGAGATTTTAGACAAATGGCTTAATCTCTCTAAGCTTCAGGCTACTGATCATTAAAATGGGGATTAGTAATACCTGGCTTCACCAATTGTCAAACTGCTCATGAAGTACAAGTGAAATATTCCCTGAACTGCTTATAATCTTTACACTTATTTAAAAAAGGTGTAAAGACCAAGAAGGTAAATTTAACATTAGCAACAACAAGAAAACCTACATACTTGATTAATAAGGGTGATTTTATTTGATTAATATATATGTAAAGTTAGTCATTCAGGGAAAGTAAAACATAAACAAATGTAATAAATACATTAATGACTGACTCCAAAAGAAGCATATTATAGCTTGGAAATCATAGTGAATCTCTCAACCAATTCCTGCAAAACTGACTCATAATTATGCCCCAATCGAGTCTACCCTCTGATTCCCCTAATAGCAATCATGGAGCTTGGTTGTAATTGATTAGGAGAAACAAAGGTAACTGTGCTAGCCATTATATTAGGGTCTCTAATTTATTCTCAAACTATCTGAAGAATTTCTATTAAGGGGACTGAGTCTACATAAAATATGGAATGCTAACAACACTTTCTTAATTACCTTTGTAGTAATTGCTAATGTATAATAATATATTAAACAAATAATAGTGATTTGTATTATTAAAATAAGGATTTTCAATTTCTCAGCATGCCATATGCAGCCAAAGCCAAACAAATTCAAATAAGGAAAAGACTCTTTTTTTAAAGCCTGTGAGACACAGAATACTATTTTAGTGAGATACATATATGGTACATACAGTATATATATAGTACATACAGTATATATGCATCTCACCAAATATATATATCTCACTGTATTCTGTGAAACATAGAATACTATTTTAGTGAGATCTATATATATATATGTGGGTACTATACATATATGTAGTTAAGAATCAATTCCAATCAACTCTTTAGAAAATGATATTGATGTATATTTGTAAATGCTTGTATCTTTAGCATTATAATCTATGCTTGTTGAGTCAATTCTATTTAATTTGAAATTGTGATTTTTACACAGGCACCCAACAATTTGCTAATTTTTCCTGAACTCTCCTTCCATGGACATGCCCTGTAAACCTACCTATATTGCTCATTATGAAATTAACTTATGACAAATCTTTGTTCATTTTACATTTTTCTAAAGACTGTTAGCTTGCATTCATTTGGCTTGAAGTTTCTATAGACTAGGCCACAGTTATTTTTTCTTTCTCTTGATTTTTCAGATATGAATTTGAATTGATTCATTACTTTTCAGCCATTATGTTAGATGCATTCCAAACAGTGCCCTGCAGGGCTATCCAGAAGGAGTTTTGGTAAAAGGAGTGAGTAGTTATTGAAAGCTCTATTCCTTTATATGTTATAAAACAAAATGGATTTGCTAAAGCCTTCCATCTGTTCCTTTATCATTCTTTGCATTAAAAAAAAAAGCTTTTAGAAGATGCAGACCCAGTCTGAATCTTTTATTGTTCCCATTTCAACTGACATAAACAAAATTATTCAGCGATGATATTAAAATATGAGCTAGTCTTTATAAGTTGCATGACTAGATGAATAAGTATAAATAGTTTTTGTATTCTTCAGCTGTCTATGAGATTATGGTTGGTGTAGATTTGTACCAAGTGATCTGAGGGGTTTCTTTAATTGTTAGTGGGAGTTGTGGATAAGGATATTTACTCATTTTTGCATTATTACTGTACTAAATCTAAGCCAATTATAAATGATCAGTCCCCATTTTATTCTTTTTCATTTTGAAATTTAAAATACCATTTTCTTGGCATAAATGGTGTTTGTTTGGCATTTTGAGGTTTACAAAAACCATTTGATTGGCACGAAACGATTTATTTCCATCCAATTGTCTTGAATAGGGAATTACTTTCATCTAGATAACTTTCAGATTTTAGGGCATGAAATGGAAGTATTCCTGCTGGGATTCTGATTGGGACTGTATTTACTGTGCAGTGAACCTTCATTTGCTACAAATCAAGGACTTTTCCAAAGCCTTTGAGTAGACTTCTGATAGTGGTAGTAATTGGGACTCTGGATTAAAGGTGGTAACAGAGTTTCCATGTGCTCTGAGATCAAATAACATTTTAGTAAAATTAGAGCTTAGAAATAGGTGTGACTCTCGTCTCTAGTTTGTATATACTCTTTTCACTTTTCTCTTTCCCTCTCATTGTCCTGGCATTTTTCCAGTGCACTGGGGATGAAAGCCCTAGTTTAGAAAAAAGTATATACGTGCACACTCACATGTGCACACACATGTATTTGCTTTAAATCATATTTCACAAAGGAGTAGGTAATCCGCATGAAATATGCAGTCAAAAAGGAAGTCTTATCCATATTTTGAGACTCTGCTGGGACATCTATCTTTCAGCCATTCTCAGCCTCTCTGGGGTTAGTCTTGCTAGAGAATTATATGCTCATTTTTGTTAAAACAACAAAACTACATTTGTAAAGTTGTTATTCATACTTTTTTCTCCCCTTATTGTTACCAGCCAGGTCCAGGTCCATTCTGACCATGCACAGTAAATTAATCACTGTGACGTGGGTTTTGCAGAAGAGAAATTTATTCACACAGACATCCAGCAAGGAGGCAGGAGCACACCTCTCAAATCTGCCTCCCCAAAGATAAGGCTTAGCGATATTTATGAGTTAGGGAAGTGGGGTGGTCTAAGGCATGGGGAAAGGTGATTCGCAGTGGGGAAAAATGAAGTAATGGGTTTATTCTGTGCAAGTATAGTCAGGATTGATGGCATTTCATAGGACATATGTACAGAAAATGGCAGCATTAGCATAATCTGAGGGTCAAGTTTTGGGCCCTCTGAGGTGAAAAGGACATCTTTCCGGTGCCTGTACAGGCTCCAAGTTGAAGGCTAGGTGGTCTCAACTGGCTTGAACTGGACAGGAGCTGGCCCAAGTTCTTGAAAAACAAATAAATCAACCATTACCATGGTGACCAATGGATGTTGTCTGTAAAGTAACCAGTGAAGGTTAAGTTTCAGCATTCAGCAGAGAGGCCTTCAGCTACAGTGGCTTTCAGCTTCATGGAAAAAAGAAAAAGAATAATAATAATAACAAAAAGCAAGTCAGTGAAAGCAAACAGGGCTGTCAGACCCGATCAAATTAACCCCTCGGTTTCCTTATAGTTACTCAGCCATACTTAAGGTTGGTATGAAAGCCATTTTTCTTCTTATTTTATAGATGAGGAAACGTTCAGAGAAGTTGGCTTTTGGGTTGATCAGCAATGCTTGGTTTTAAACTTGGCTGGCTCTCTCTGGGACCAGTGCTCTTTCAGGTACCTGGTATGACTGTGGCTTGGCTTTCAAGCTCTTTACCAGATTTCCTACATATCATTCATTTACCCAAAAATGTTTATTAGTATTTTAAGAATCTTGTGTGCTGCCTTTTTTTTTTAGTGCCATATTCTCTCAATTCTAAATGGCACATTTTTCCCACTACTAAAATTAATGTCCCAATGGCATTTTTTTTCAAAATCTGAGAATAAATTGATTCAACAGCTGATGTCATAGAAATGAGGAAGAACAATATTTGCGTTCCATCACTATGCCTAGAAAACCTATTACATGTCTTGAATTCCCTCTTCTCCTACCTCTGAAAAAAATGTTTGCTTTTGTGTGAAAACTTTATGTATCTCAGTTACTATTATTTCTATTCTTACAATCTTCCTTTATTAATTTTCATGATTCTAAATTTATTTTTTAAGTCACTCAGTTTTTTCAAGAAATAATCCTTATTGCATAGTTTTTTTTTTATCCTGAGAGAATTTGATCTAGTATCTACTAGTTTTTCAAATGATCTTGCTAAATAGTTACTGAGGTTTTTCAATAATGGCTGGACTTATTGGAATGTATTTTCTCCATTGCGTTAACATAAACATTATCCTGTCTTCAAACTTACTTATATTCCATGACATCTTGTCAGTATTTTTCAGCCCTGGTATGAAAAACAATATGTAAGAAATTAAGTTTTATAATTTCTTGCTGACTTTTTCTGTCTTTGCCTTAACTGCTGGAGGTTTTGTTACCAGATATGACAGGACCTGAGCAGAGTGAAATCAAGGTTGAAAAAAAATTGAATGTCTGAACCATTGACCCTAAGAGCAAGAGGGAAGGAAGAAGTGGAAAGCATTCCAAAATATTATGTTCAAAGGACTATGGAGCTCAAAACCTCAGCATAAAGAATTGAAGTGAAATCAATGGCTCCATTATTAGTGGATTAACTAAAGTATTGAACAGGAGACCAAGACTGGATTTTTGTTGAATGAACCTTGCCCACATGAGAAAAGTTAGTGAAAGACTCAACTGAACGCTCAATCCAAGGCATCCTTTGTATTTGATCTGTGACATCAAAACTGTTTCCAACATGTGATGGTCATGTTTACATTGTCTTAGTCTGGCTTCATTAACTCATTCACCATTTATTTATTCAACACCCACTATCTGTAAGACACTGTGATAAACAAGTGATATACAAGATAAACAAGAGATATACAAGATAAACAAGAGATATACAATCCTTTTTTTTCCCCCTATAGACTGTAGTCTATTGGGAAACTTGGGCAATAAAATAGGTAATTACAATGAAGGCTATAGCTTTGATATCAGGAGTTAGTCTAGCTCCCTCTCTAGCTCTATCCGTCTCCTTTCCCAAGCCCCTCTGCCCTTACTTTTTGTTTAAACAGCTCTGATCATATCAAGTTATTTTGAATAACTTTAAAAAATGCAGGAAGATATACAGTCCACTGACCATATGCCTCAGTAGTGAAAAAATGTGTTTATGTATACCTGCCTCGGAATGAAGCTTCCTGTACCTCCAAATTTATAATAATTTTCCAAATATTTTCTCAGCTTTTTTCAACACTTCTTTTACAGCATCCTAGATCAAAATGATTGATTTTAGAGATTTTTATTAAATATTCTTTAACTCATTCCTACTGTATGCTAGGTACTATGCTATCTCTCAAGGATATAATGATAAGTAAATAGACAGGCTGACATGCTATCTATACTTAGGAAGTTTACAGTCTAGTGGTAAATACACATATTAAATTAAAAATATGCAAATGACAAGTCAGCTTGTCATACATGTTAACAGGGAAATTGCAAGAGCATAGAATTTCCTCATGGGATAAAAGTGAGTGGGAGAGAATTTAGATGAATGTGAAAAGACTGACTCTTGGTGAAAGTTTGATTTATTTTGAATCCTGAAGAATAAAGATTTATTCAAGACACAACATGGGGGAATAATTAGTTATTCCCACATTCTCATATTTAGTTTCATCTCATCTCATATTTCTAGATTTAAAAGTTTGGTCATGGTTTTTTAAAGATGTGAATTACCTTAAGTCTCTAAGTCAAGACTCTGTGTCTCTAAACTTGGATCAGAAACTAGCTGGAGAAATAAGAAAAGAAAAAAAAGACTGTCATGCAAATGTCTAACCATTTAAAATATGAGGATTTAAGGAGCCAAAGGCAGATCAGCAAGTGAAAGCTTTTCACTTCCGTTAACATTTCTCATTCTAAATTGGAAGTTATGTGCTATGACAACATAAGAAGAGGATTTCTAACTCAGAGTAGGAGAGCCAAGGAACATATTCTAAAGCAACTGATTTCAGAATTGAGACCTAAGTGATAATTAGGAGCTAATCAGAAGAGCAGATGGCGGAAGGAGAAAAAGTGGAGGAAGATAGCCCAGAGGAGTCAGGGAGTCAAGAAAGAAGAGGAATTTGAGAACGAGCCCAGAGGCAAGAGGGCTGAAAAGTCCTGTAGTTCAGTACTCGGAGGGTGCTGGTATAGGGGAACAGTGGCAATGTGTCACTGGGGAGGTGATAGGGAAGGCAATGAGAGACCCTTAGATTGTATTAAGAAGACAAGTGACTTGATTGAATTTTTGTCTGCAAGAAAGCTCTGGCTACTGTTGTGAAAACATTTTTGAGTGAGGCATGACTGTGAAGCAGAAAGAATACTAGAGGGTAGTGCAGTAACCTTGGATAGAAATACTAATGACCTAGTCTAGTGGTTACCAAACTTTGTTCCTCAAACACTCCCAAAATAATTTTGTAAAATTGTATATCATCTCATATACTTGTGAATTGACATAAACATTCATCATAAGTTTAAACCGTTGCAAAATGTAATTTTCAGCATATTGTAAATTTTGCCATTTTAAATTGTCTGTTGTATTACTCTTAATAGTATCCATTAGAGTCTGAATAATACCGAGATTCAATGCTCGTCATTATCTATTTAAAAATATTTGATATATCTCTTGCACAACTCTAAAAATTTTGTGCCATTTTTTTCTTTTTAATTTCTATTTTCATTCTCATGGATTTCACTCTTTTATTATATATCATATGCTCAAAAGTATTTAATTATCTAATAATGCATTTTAGTTATAAAATGGTTATAATTTAATTTTAAACATTTCCTATAAGGTTTTAAGTGTTAATTATTTTTCTAGAATGAGTTGTCAATAAAATTTTTATTATTGAACACTTGAATAAATCTATATAACTACATTTCAAATTCTGAAAAAATTGTTACTGACAAAAGAAGTACAACTTTATTGGCAATGTATAGCTTAATGTAACAGACGGGCTTTTAAAATTTTAATCCCTCTACCTTTGGGAGAATGTTACTTATTGCCAAAATTAGACAGAGTTTAATATTAATTCTGTTTTGAATTTGATCTATTGTCAAAAATTATCTTTAATAAACTTAATTTTGTTGAATGCAAAGAAATGGAAATTGCTTGACTTACGAAATAATTTAGTTGCTAGCCATTCACTTTCTCAATAGCCATACCAGTATTTCTCAACATTTATATCAGTTATCTTTTTGTTTGGTGCTCCCAAAGAGTTTACATGCTCAATCAATGCACATTAAATTTTGGGTGGGTGAGAAGTATGTCTTTCTTCTGTAAAATAAGAGGAAGGTAACTAGGAAAGAGGGAGCTGGAAAGTAGAGCCTGCACTTGTGTCTGAAGATAGAGCTGAAGATAAATGTATCTTAAGTTAATTATCTAAAATCTTTTTCCAAGTACAACTTGGAAGGATTTGTATGCCCTCAGGAATATATATACACCAGTTTAAAGACCACTCAGATAGATTGAGGCAGTGACAATGACAGTAGAAAAAAGTGGAAAGACATTAGAAAGAAAGAGAAATATAAGGTGAAAAACTCAATAAATTTCTGTATTGTGTTAGATTGGTAGCATGTATAAAAGTTCTAGAAGTCAACAAGAGTGGGCTACATTTTAAATATTCCTCTGGAGAGTAGAAAATCGCTGAGTAGGGAAATAGAATGATTTGCCTGGTATCTGGAGATAATGAGTTTATAGGGCTGACCTGCAAGGCTGTACAATTTTCTCTGCAGTCATCAGCCACAAGGGTGAAGATGCAGAGAAAGCACAAAGTTGAGGGCTTTGCGTGCTAATTTCAGAAAGTCGATTTTGAGGGATAGTGAATTATTATGAATGAAAATTGATAAATTTCAATTTCTCTGGGCAAGATAAACTAAAAGTGGACTCAAACAGAGGAATGTATGTGTAGTAGTAAGGAAGATTTGCCAAAGTATGTCAGGCAGGGAAAAGAACTTGAGGAAAAAGTCCAGCAGCAGGAGGTCTGGGATGTCCTGCAAGGTTGACTTTGAGGTAATCCATACACAAAAATAACTTGAGAATGCATAGTTCCGAGAAACAACCCCTGCAGATCAAAGCAAAGAAAGCTGCCATAAAAATAATCAGAATGACATTCAGGAGACAAAGTTCTGGAACATTCTAGACTCTCTCTCTCCAATGTTTTACAAACATATACTTAAAGCAACTATACAATATATAACACACTGGACATTATATTATTTGAAACTATTGACATACATATTAATAAGAGTTTAGATGTCAACGTATAATATGCAAAGGGGTACATAACTTTTTAAGGGGGTTTTGTAGGCAAAAACTTTGAAGACCACTGAAATGAAGTACTGAGAACTAGAAGCAGAAATTTAGAGATAATGATGTTTGTCTAGATGCTGGGGAATATGTGATGCTGAAGGTTGGTGCTGGTAGACTTAGAGTCAATTTTAATAACAAATCTACACAACTTTTCCAAAGAATTGTATGACTATGAGTATTCCAAAGGTGTTCACCAAATAAGCCATTCTAAGAATTTGGTAGGGCTGTTGAAAATAGCAAAGGCAGTATGGGCAGGTAATACCTCTTTTAGTGGAAAAGAATTTGATAAATTCATCTTCATTACTACATTCTAGCTTGCAGAGGTTTGTGGGCAGTGGAGATGTCTTAGGAACTTTGATGAAAGTTGACAGAGAAAGCAGCCTGGGGTTAGAAACATTTATACCTTTAAATCATTCACAAGAAATGAATGACCTGAAAGCAGGTGGGTTCTCAGAAAATAGACAGAACTATGGTGCTGCTCCAGTAGAGAAATGAAGTTGCTTCCCGTGGAAAAAGTCAAGTCAGAACCTTGATGCCTTCCAGCAAAATAGTATTAAATTGATGAATTAAATTTTTCTAAATGTGTTTTTGCATACTCATACAAAAGAAAATCTCGGAAAAGTCAGTCATTGTCACCTTCCAGGTACAAAAAGCTGAGCTCTGCATACACAGCCCTTCATATTTCCAGAGATAGCCCAGGCCCTAAACAGGATTTGGCCAGCTTCCTTGACTCTCTGTATGAATCTGCAAGTTCCTTTGTGTTTTGTTTTTCTTGTCTCTGGTAGTGGTGGTGGTGGGATATTACTTTTTAATTCTGTGTACACATTGCCACAAATTTAGCAACTGTTAAAACATACTTGGTTATCTCAATTTCTTTGGGTTAGGAGCATGGGCACAGCTTAGCTGGATCCTCGGTTCAGAATCTCACAAGGTTGAAGTCAAGTTTGGCTGGGCTGTGTTCCCTTCTGGAGCTTGGTGTTCTCTTTCAGTTGTTAGCAGAATTCAGTGCCTTGTAGTTACAGGACTAAGGTCCTGATTTCTTGCTGTCAGCTCTGAGAGGTCACTCCCTATTCTTTGCCCTTCTCACTGCACCTTCATTTGGCCTCTCCCAACATAGCAGCTCACTTCTTCAAGGCCAGCAGGAGACCCCTTTCTCTTCTGGAAGGGCCCAAGCCCTCTTTTAAGGACTTTCACTTGATTAAGACCAGCCCATTCAGAATAATTTCTCTTTCAATTAAGTGAGAACCAACTTATCTGAGACCCTAATTAAGATTAACAAACAATATGAAAAAAAGCTGAACATCACAGATTATTAGAGAAATGCAAATCAAAACCACAATGAGATACCATCTCACGCCAGTCAGAAGGGCAATTACTAAAAAAGTCAAGAAACAACAGATGCTGGAGAGGCTATGGAGATGTTGGTGGGAATGTAAATTAATTCAACCATTGTGGAAGATGGTGTGGTGATTCCTCAAAGATCTAGAACCAGAAATACCATTTGACCCAGCAATCCCATTATTGCATATATACCCAAAGGATTATTAATCTTTCTATTACAGAAATACATGCACACGTATGTTCATTGCAGCACTATTCACAATAGCAAAGACAGGGAATCAACCCAAATCCTCAACAGTGATAGACTGGATAAAGAAAATGTGGTATATATACACCATGGAATACTATGCAGCCATAAGAAGGAACAAGATCATGTCCTTTGCGGGGACATGGATAGAGCTGTAAGCCATTGTTTTCAGCAAACTAATGCAAGAACGGAAAACCAAACACTGAATGTTGTTACTTAGAAGTGAGGGCTGAACAATGAGAACACACGGACATAGGGAGGGGAACAACACACACTGGGGCCTGTCAGAGGGTGGGGTTGGGGGAGGGAGAGCATCAGGAAAAATAGCTAATGCATTCTGGGCTTAATACCTAGGTGATGGGTTGATAGGTGCAGCAAACCACCATGGCACATGTTGACCTATGTAACAGACCTGCACGTCCTACACATGTACCCCAGAACTTAAAATAAATATAAAAAATTTAAAACAGATATAAAGAGGAGATGATGGTGAAAGGGGATGAAAAGGTTAAAGAATATGGAGAATAGACCCATAAGTAGGTAAAATAAATGACTAATAGACTAATAGTTCCAGAAGGCGAGAACAGAATTGAGAGATGAGGAGAGGGGTAAACTATGGACTTTAGTTAATAAATATCAATATTGGCTCATCAATTGTAACAAAAGCCTCACACTAATGTAAGATGTAGGATATAAAAGATAAGATAATAGCGGAAACTGTGTGGGCAGATGAAGGGGGTATATGGGAACCTATCTGATCTTTTTATCACAATTTTTCTGTAAACCTAAAACTGCTCCCAAAAAGTTATTAAAATAAATAAGTAAACAAATTGTGCAATGGAAAAAAAAACAACGACAAAAAGATTTTCTTTTTTTGCACTTTTGCCACACAGTATTTTTTCACTTTTGTGTAACCTAATACAGAGAGTAATATCCCATCATATTGACAGCTTCCACCCACATTCAAGGGAAGAATCAACAGGAGCATTATGCTGGGGGTCAGGGCAAGAATTTTGAGATCTTACAATTCTGTTTACCACAGGAGTGAAGGGTACAGAATTATAGTGATATTTGATTATCTATATCCTGTCACTTTATTATAAAATTACTTGATTCAAGTTTTAATAAATTTTTACCAATGCTAATGTTTTCAATTTGGCTTGCTTAAATAATTCACCATCCAAAACTTTTCTACTTTCAACATTTAAAACTGAAGACTGCTTTTTATAGCTGATGTCAGTAAAAAATCTATTAATATAATTATTAATCATACTTTTCCAAAACTTTTCCAACTATACTGTTTTCCTTGAAATAGAACACCCATTATCTTACATATTACATTTGAAGTCTTCACCTGTTACAAACCCTATAAGACTTTTACATTTTTTCTAATTCTTTACATAATATTGATCAGAAATCGGATTTTTAAACTCATTAGGCTCAATTCAACAGACAAAATTCATCTTTATAAACATATATTGCATACTTTATTAGCTAGTCAGTTTGCCAGGATATAAAACTGAAAAAGATTATTCTGTTCTCAAATAGTTTGTGAAAAATTTCCTGATGATACATTAGGATAATTTTTAATATTTTGTCTGGATGTCTTCTAAGGTCTGGTGCAATATGTGTGATGTCTTCTTTAATAACACTTATCCAGTTTTGATTCTCTGGACACCAACTGGGTGTTCAACAATTCAATTCAATTGTGCCTTTAATTTATTGGAGTTAGTGCAGACCCCACAGGTTAATGGCTCAGTCTTACAAGATTGCCCCCCACTTCAGATGCCAGTTGCAAGCCTCAAGCTTCCTGTATTTCTGATCAACGGGCTACAAATTGCAGGCTCCCACGACATCTTACACAGGTTTAATAAATTGCTGTAATGTCTCATAGAACTCAAAAGAATGCTACTTACTATTACCAGTTTATTATGATGGATGCAACTCAAAAACAGCCAAAGGGAGGAGATATGTAGGGCAAGTATGGGACAAGGGGCAGGAGCTTCCATACTCTCTCTAGGCATGCCACTCTCCCAGTAACTCCATGTGTTCGCCAACATGGAAGCTCTGCAAACCCCAGCATTTAGGGATTTTAATGGAAAGTTATTACTTACACATGATTCATTGGCCATTGGCAGAAAGTTTGAGGTGGGGCTGAGAGTTCCAAACTTCTAATCAAGGCTTGGTATTTCTGGCAACCAGCTCCCTCATCCTGAAGCTATCTAGGGGCCCACAAAGAGTCACCTTATTACTACAAAAGATACTTCCATCATCTTTAACACTCAGGAAATTCCAAAAGCTTTAGGAGCTCCGTGCCAGGAACAGGGGACAAAGACCAAATATCTATGTTACCACTCAGGGTAATGTAACTACCAATTCAGAAATTATCACTGTACAACATAATTTAAATTACTTTGGAAAGAAACACATGGCTACTTTAAAGTTAATTGAAGCCTATTTGCTAACTTAAAGAACATATCACATTTTCTTGACATTTGCCCCAACTGAGTTGGCTTGTCCATGTTAAGTTTTTTTCTCTTTCTGCAGACTTAAGTGTTTTGGCTGCATTTGTCTCAGCCCATTTATAAAACATTAGATGAAATGTTTTATCTAATGCTCCTAGCACTAATCCTTAGGGAACTCTGATTAAAAGTTTTCTATTTAGAAAAAAATACATACTCATGTTTAAATTTGCCTGTTTAAAAAAAAAGTAGAAATGTCTCTCAAGTACCTAGTGAAACATTTTTAAAGTTTTTTAATGGAATCTTGTTTCATAAATTAAGAAAATAAGTGTAAGTAATTTCTACTAGTTTTCTTTCTCTTTGATTTTTTTTTCTCTTAGCCAGAGATTATTTAGGAATGTATCTTCCCCTTGAAATACTGCTGGATTGCTCCCCAGTGCACCATTTTATTGTAGAAGTGAGATTCACTCACTCTATAATAATCCTTAAGAACCGTTCTGTGCCTATTTATATTTACCAATTTCTTTAAAAGAACCCTCTTCAAAAAAGTTATTTTCAGTTTACTCATTAATTTTTTATTGGTTTCCTTTGAGTTTACAATATGTATCTTTACTTAATCACTTTTGAATAATATTATGCCACTTTCTATATAGTACAACCACCTTTACAACAGTGTACTTCCAGTTCTTTCTGCCGTCACTGTTACTGTTGTCATACATGGCATTTTTACTTATGTCTTAAACCTCACAACATATTGTTACTATTTTTGTTCTAGATAGTGAATTTTCTTTTACAGCAATTACAAATTAGGAAAAAGTGGGAGGGTTGCTTGAGGCCAGGAGTTTGAGGGCTAGGAGTTTGAGACCAGCCTGGGCAGCCGAGTGAGGCCCCTGTCTTTACAAAAATAAAGAAAAAAAAAAATAGCTGGGCTGCACCTAGCTTCTCAGAAGTCTGACGTGGAACAATCACTTGTGCCCAGGAGTTTGAGGTTGCAGTGACCTATGATTGTACCACTGCATTCCAGTCTGGGTGACAGAGTGAGACCTTGTCTCTTAATACACACACACACACACACACACACACACGAAATATTTTTCTTATTTACCCTATTTTTACTTTTCTGATCCTCTTCACTTCTTTCTGTAGATCCAGGTTGTGTTCAGTGTCATACTCTTTCTGCTGTGCAGCCCAGTTTCTAACAGGTCACGGACTGGTACCAGTCTACTGCCTTTCACATTTCTTAAAATGTGGGTTTCCCTTTATGGGGTTTACAGAGGTTACTGATTTCTCCTGTAGTCTGACAAAAATAAAATGTTACATGTGTTTCCTCTCCTTTTGGAGAGGTTTGGCTTTTTTTGTTACCCAGGTTACTCGGTGGCTTTACAACTTCAGGTCTCTGATACACTCAAGGAAAGTTATGAATATCATCTGGCTTTTTTCACATTGTTACACAGAGGCGAGATTCTTTGAAGCTTTCAGCATCCAATGCAGAAGCAGAAGTCCACTCACAATTCACTCCTTCAGTGATTGTATGCTGTATTGTCAATGTAAAGGTCATGAAAAAAATCTCCTTGTTATTTCATGAATTTAACACTCTTTTCTGAACTGGGTAAAGACTCCTTCTTTCACTGAATTTGCCTTAATACCAAGCTACATCTGTAATCTTTATAAATACTGAATACATGCTTATTGAAAGTTACAGAGCAAACTGGTTTTTCTCCCCATTTCATCCTAACTGTATACATAATATTTTGAAATCTACCATTACTATAAACTAGAAGCATTTTTATATTTATTAAATATTTACATCTTTTCTCTACCTTATTAAATGAAGATGTATTAAAGAAAGCATGTTTTAACTTTAGTCATTTAAAATATAGCTATCACATATTTGCTGTTTTATAGGCATTGAGGAAGATGTTCATGAGAGCACTGTCCTAATGACAAAAATTGGGTTCAGGGACCTTGATATTTTATGAATTTAAAATGATAATCTTAGAATTATTGCCAAATAGAACTGCAGGAAGTATATTATGTTCAATGCTGGACTGTTAGAGGTTCTGAATTAATGTTTATGAATATAAGATTCATCCATGATACTTAAGAAAGCTAAAATTGTTGGGATTTTCCTTCTATATACTGTTATTTCAGTTAAAATATAATTGATGAATAGATAATTTATAATTCTAATTCTAAAATACTGTAATTCTGTATTAGACAGAATAGGCTAAGATAAAATAGGCAACAATTGTATTAACAAATATCCATAAAACCTTAAGTATTTGACATAGTAAAGGTTTATTGGCTATTCACATCACAGCTAAATGCACTAATATCCTATCTCTTAATTTATGTATAGCAAATAACCTCTAAGGATTCCCTGTAGTAGGAGTCCCCAGCCCCTGGGCAGTAGACTGGTACCAGTCCGTGACCTGTTAGAAACTGGGTTGCACAGCAGGAGGTGAGCAGCAGATGTGCAAATATTACCACCTGAGCTCCACCCCCTGTCAATAGTAGCATTAGATTCTCATAGGAGCTGGAACCCTATTATAAACTGTGTATGTGAGGGATCTAGACTGTGAGTTTCTTATGAGAATCTAATGCCTGATGATCTGTGGAACAGTTTCATCCTGAAATCATTCCTTCTCATCTGTGGAAAAATTGTCTTCCACAAAACTGGGACCTGGTGCCAAAGAGATTGGGGATTGCTGCTGTATAGAACAACAAAGGGCTGGAGGATTAGGTGGGATCTGGACCGACCTTCCTTCCTTCCTTCCTCCCTCCCTCCCTCCCTCCCTCCCTCTCTTCTCCTTCTCCTCCTTCTCCTTCTCCTTCTGCTTCCCTTCCCTTCCCTTCTCTCTGCTTTCCTTTTTTTTTTTTTTTTTTTTGACAGAGTTTTGCTCTTGTTGCCCAGGCTGGAGTGCAATGGTGCGATCTTGGCTCACTGCAACCTCTGCCTCCCAGGTTCAAGTGATTCTCCTTCAGCCTCTGAGTACCTGGGGTTACAGGAGCCCGCCACCACGCCCAGCTAATTTTTTGTATTTTTAGTAGAGACAGGGGGTTTCACCATGTTGGTTAGGCTGGTCTCGAACTCCTGACCTCAGGTGATCTACCTGCCTTGGCCTCTCAAAGTGCTGGGATTACAGGCGTGAACCACCATGCCCAGACCTATTTTTCTTTTTCTTTTAATAACTTTATTGAGATATTATTCACATACCCTACAATTCACCCATTTAAAGTGTACAATTCACTGATTTATAGTTGTGCAATCATTAATCTAATTTCAGAACATTTTTATTCCTTAAAAGAAACTCTATAAGTGTTGGCTTCATTCTGCCCCCATCCCCTCCTCTTACCCCTGAGCAATCACTAATCTACTTTCTATCTTTATGATTTACCTATTCTGGACACTTCATGTGAATGAAATTGCACTATATGATTTCATACCTTTTGTGAATTTTCTTTCACTTAGCATAATGTTTTCAAGGTTCATTGATATTGTATCATGTAAAACTACTTCATTCCTTTTTATTACTGTATAATATTCCATTGTATAAATATACCACCTTTTCTGTATCCGTTCATTAGCTGATGGACATTTGAGTTGTTTATGCTTTTTGGCTATTATGAATAATGCAGCAATGACTATCTGTAAGTTTTGTGTAGATATATGTTTTTATTTCTCTCATGCATACAATTAAGGGTGGAATTGCTGGGGCATATGGTAACTCTATTCTTAAATTTGGAGGCAAAGTTACCACCAAACTGTTTTCCAAAGTAACAGCACTATTTTTACATTTCCACCAGCATGAATAAAGGTTCCTTTTTCTCCACATTCTCACCAAAATTTCTTCTTGCCTTTTTTATTAAAGCCATCATAGTGGGTGTGAAGTAATAGTTTATTGTGGGTTTGATTTGCATTTTCATAATGAGTAATGATAGCAATGATTTGGATGTCTTTTCATGCGATCATTGTCCATCTGTGTATCTTCTTTGGAGAAACACCTCTTCAAATCCTTTGTTTATTTATCTAATTGGGATTTTTGTCTTTTTAAGTATTGAGTTATAAGAGTTCTTTTATAATTCTGGATACAAGTCACTTATTAGATATATGTCTTGCAAATATTTTGTGCTATTCTGTGAGTAGTCTCTTCACTTTCTTGATGATATACTTTGATGCCCAAAAGTTTTCAACCTTAATGAAGTCTAATTCTATTTTTGCTTTTGTTGCTGATGCTTTTTGTATCCTATGTAAGAAATTTTGGCCTAACTCGTGGTCAAAGATTTACTCCTATGCTTTCTTCCAAGAAACATACAATTTTAGCTCTTACATTTAGATTTATGACTTATTCTGAATCATTTTTTTGGTATGGTGTGAAGTAGGGGTCCAAACTTATTTTTTTTGTATTTGAATATTTAGTTGTTTCAGTACCATATACTCATTGAACTGTCTTCACATTCTTTTCAAAATCTATTGACCATAAGGGTAAAGGCTTATTTCCATACTCTGAATTCTGTCCTATTGATCTATATGTCTATTATTACCAAGACTACATTGTCTTGATTATTGTTACTTTGTAGTGAATTTGAAATTTAGAACTGTGAATTCTCCACTTTGTGCTTCTTCTCAGTACTCTTTTGGATATTCTGGGTCCCTTGGATTTTCATATTAATTTTAAGATTGGCTTGTCAAAATTTGCAAAAAAGTCAGGTGAAATTTTGAAAGGGATTACATTCAATCTGTAGAATACTCTTGGGAATATTGACATGTAAAATATATTAAGTCTTCTGAACAACGAACATAAGATGATTTTCCATTAATTTAGGCCTTTTGTTTCTTAAACAATGTTTTGTAGTTTTCAGTGTAAATTTCTTGCACTTCTTTCATCAAATTCTTTCCTAAGTATGTTATTCGTCTTGGTGCTATTGTAAATTTAATTATTTTTAAATTGTATTTTTAGATTGTTCATTGCAAGTATATAGAATATGATTATTTTTTGCATATTTATCATCTACCCTGAAACCTTGCTGAATTCATTTATTAGCCATAATTTTTTTAGTGGATTCCTTAGAATTTTCTAAATACAAGATTATGTCATCTGCCAATAAAAATAGTTTTATTCTTTTTTCCCAACCTGGGTTTATTTTATTTCTATTTCTTATCTATTTGCTCTGTCCAGAACTTTCAGTAAAATGTTCAGTAGAAGTGGTGAAAGAGACATCTTTGTCTTATTCCTGATCATATGGGAAAAGTATTCAGCAATTCATCTTTAACATAATGTTAGCAGTGGATTTTGTGTTGATGCTCTTTATCAAGTTGGGAAAGTTTCCTTCTATTCCTAGTTTAGTAAGCATTTTTATTATAAAAAGTGTTGGAGTTTGTCAAATGCTTTTTCTACATCTATGCAGGGTGATCATATGGTTTTTGTTCTTTATTCTATTAATATGATGTATTGCATCAATTGATTTTTGGATTTTAAACTAACATTGTGTTATTGGGAAAAATCTCACTTGGCTATGATGTATAATCCTTTTTACCTATCTAGCCAGATTCAGTTTGCTAATATTTTGTTGATAATTTTTACATTTGTGGATCTCACTCACCTGTTTATTTTTTTATATATTTTACATTGATAACTAGATGTCTTAGATAATAACATCATAGCAACTCTGGATACTGATTTCTCCACCTTGCTATTGTTATTGTTGTTTAGTTTTTGGTCATTTGTGTATTTGTTTTGTGATCCAGCTGAAATAACTTTGTGAAGTCTTTCTGTGCAGGATGTTTTTAAGGGCCAGGCCTAAAAGTTACATACATCACTTTTGCCCCAATCCCAAATGCCAGAATTTGGACATGTGGTCCACACCTAACTGCAAGAGAAGCTGGGAGATGTAGACAAGCACAGTGTTATTTGGTGAGCACCAGAAGTCTCTACCATCATTCAAACTTCTAGTTATCAAATATCTCTTTTCCACATTTAATGTACCTTGTTGTCCAAGGAGTTCAATCGTAAATCACTGAATTCCAAGTTGAAGAACCCTCAAGTCAGGAAATGCATCCACTTGGTCTAGTGACATAGAAACTAAAAAGACAAGGTCTCCCCACACCCCATCTGCATCCATACATGCCCCTAACCTAAATGGTGGGGCAGGGGAAAGAAAAATATATCTACCATTAATAAAATGGAAGGCTGGATGACACACAATGATCACTAATCTTTCTATGAGATATTGGTCAAAGGACACAACATGTCAGCTAAGTAAGAGGAATAATTTCAACAGCATGGGACTATAGTTAATAACAATGTATTGTATTTGAAAATCTCTAAGAGTCCATGTTAAGTGTTTTCACTACAAAAAACAATAAGTATGTGAGGTAACGCATATATTAATTAGCTCAGTTGAACCATTCCACAGTGTATACATATTTCAAAATGTGTTGTATATGGCAAGTATATATAAATTTTATTTGTCAATTTAAAAATAACTTGTCTGCAGAAATACTAGAATCCTTTAGGACAGATAATTTTTGAAGTTTTTCTGCTCTGACAGTGAGGGAAGTCTCCTGAGACTCATTCATGCTCTGCTCTCCAAGCATGAATTTTTCTCTTTACTTTTCTCTTTACTTTGAATGAATTTTTTCTCTTTACTTTGTTAAACGTTTACTAATATAAAATGGAGTCACACTGGTTCCTTTCTGTAAAGGGAGAGAAGATGGGCTTTCTGAGTTTATTATTATTATTATTATTATTATTATTTTGTTGATATCTTTGGTGGTACTTTTATATTTGTGCTACTGTGGTTAGAAACACCACTGGATTACATCTTAGCTTTGAACCTAATTTTGGGACCTGTTGTAATTTCTGGTTTTAGCTTTACTACTGGAGAAATTATTTGCTTTGAGAAGTTAAAAGTGTTATTGAGTCCCAACTTACTAAGATCTTTTAGATTTTATTATTTCTTGAGATAATAGCTTCTATTTCTTTTCTTTATTTTTATTTCTAATGTATTTCCTTTCTCTCTGGGCATAAGATCTTCACCACCATAAATAAAAATAATTATCCCAATGGAAGTTTTTTATTTATTAGAACTAGGAGGCCGTTTGAATGCTAAGTTTTCTCTATACAAAGATCATTAAGATTTTAATTTGGATGAAAATTTGTAATTTGTAAGTAAAATTTCAAAGCAAAGCTTCTAATCCAGTCTGTTAAACGGGATTACAGAGGATTACATCCTTGGTAGATGGGAGCAGAGATTCAGGTTGAGTCAGTACTTATGTGGTTCAACCTGAATCTGAACCCAGAATGCCAGAGGAACAGTCGCTATAATAATTTCTATAAAGTCTACAAAAGGGTAATTAAGGATGCTGAAAACTGACCTCAGCAGTAGCATTCCTTTACTCTTCACTTCCACGGACCTAACTCCCCTGCTCTCTGCGTTAGCCTCCCGGAACTACTTTCACCTCCTTAAAAATTGCCCTCTTTGCTCCTCTTGATGCTTCTGCACCTGCTCCCTCTGGGTGATAGGTTGCCATTGATCCTGTGGCTGATTGTACTGCATCCCAGCCTGAACACCTATCCCTGACAATTTCATGGTCTTTGTCTCTACGTGCAGTCAATTATAAATTCTGTGTGGATTGAGACCAACTGTGTTTTCTCTTCCCAGCAGCTGTAACCTCACATGTCCCCCGCCACTGGTACTGTGCTAGAAAGCAATAATAGATGCTTTAAAAAGAGTTGTCATATGAATAAAATCTCACCCACTTCTCAGTTTTGCTTGAGTTACGGACCTTGAAGTTAGTTATTTGCTATTTAGAAATTTTGATACTACACTGTCATTATTCATTTCAGATTTTTTTCAGAAATATTAAAGTCAATATTTCTGTGAAAATTGAAAAAAAATTTTATGATTAAATTTCTATTAATTTTGAATAAAATGCTACATTAAGGAATGAATGTTTTGATAGTTTATAAAACACAAAATAATACTATAATAATTTAAGTGATATACAATAATAATTTAAGTAATATTCTTTAAGGTTTGATCTAAGGACACAAATATATGCATTAAATATTGAAAAAAAATAAGGATGACAGGATACTAGATCCATCATTTCATTCCTCTTTTTTTGTTTTTTGAGACAGGGTCTTTGTCACCCAGGCTGGAGTGCAGTGGAGCTATCACAGCCCACTACAGCCTTGCCCTCCCTGGGATCAAGTGATCCTCCCAACTCAGTCGCCAGAGTAAGTTTGGACTACAGGTGTATGCCACCATGCCTGGCTAACTTTTGTATTTTTTGTAGAGACAAGTGTCTCACTATGTTGCCCAGGCTGATCTTGAACTCCTGTGCTCAAGCAGTCTGCCCACTTCAGCCTCCCAAAGTGCTGGGATTACACCTGTGAGCCACCGTGTCCAGTCTTCATTCCTTTTTTATATACATATATTATTATAGTCAATTCATCAGAATGAACTATAGTTCATAGGAAAATATTTTGTATATAGTTTCTTGATAAACAATGCTTGTTATTATGCTAAACCTATTGCAAAATCTATAGTGGTTTTTCATATCATGTTGCTTTCATGGTTTGCAAACCAAACACAAATGAACTATTAGAACCACTAATTATTTTGTCTGTTAGTGAAGATATTGGAATGGAAATTATTTTGAGTTTCAAAGGTAAATGATATACTCTGAAGACAATTATTATTTTTCTCATTTAAAATGTACATTGATATGGTTTGGCTTTGTCCACACCAAAATCTCATCTTGAATTGTAACTCCCATAATTCCCACGTGTTGTGGGAGGAACCTGGTGGGAAGTGATTGAATCATGGGGGTGGGTCTTTCTCATGCTGTTCTCATGATAGTGAGTGGGTCTCACAAGATCTGATGGTTTCAAAAGTGGGAGTTTCCCTGCACAAGCCCTCTTGTCTGCTGCCATGTGAGATGTGCCTTCACCTTCCACCATGATTGTGAGGCCTCTCAGCCACGTGGAACTCTAAGTCCAATAAATCTCTTTTTTTTTTTTCTAAATTGCCTAGTCTTGGGTATGTCTTTATCAGCAGCATAAAAATTGACCAATACATACAGGTTCCATTAGAATTATTCAAAGAATAAAGCAAAAATATTAACATAAAATGACTGAGTTACTGGAAAATGGGACTACTCATGGCAGAATCTGTTGTAACAAAAGACTTCTTTGTCAAAATTGTCATTTCATTTGGGATCTCTTTTTCAATTCTCAAGGCAAAAATAAGATAATTTATATGTATAGTTTAATTTGCAGTCTAGGGAGACTTGGTATATAACTCTAGCCATAATGTTTATTTCAACTTCCATTTTTTTGACATAAGGCACTCAATCAGACAGATAATAGATTTTCATTTCCAAACCTAACATTTCTGGCAGTCCTGGGCAGCACTTTCTGGAGGGAAATCAATAAATCAAATTTTAATCAGTATTTATTGAGCACCTGCTAACATAGATGCTATGGTAGGGAAAGGTTATGGGTGAAGGAATGACAGAGGTTTATGAGATATTGTTGCTGATCTAAAGAAATTTTTATGCAGAATAGATGCACATAAGACACATGCACGCACACACACACATACCAACCCAAACACACCGTCACACACAAATAAATAAAAAGCTTATTATCGTTGAGCTTGGCCAGTTCATAAATGGTTGGTCTGAGTGGAAAGACTAATGAGAACTACAGCATCCTTGGTTTGCAGATGTTTCCATCTTGTGTTATATAGAGTTAGCAAACAAGTATCTAAGAATAAAAGTGAGTGAATAGATGCAGTTCCTCCTTGAAGCATACCTGAATTTTGTGCTCTGTCTACCTGGAGGAGAGAGATGAGTGAGGATTCTGCCAGGACAGATAAACATAAACCACTGTCTCACAACCTTTTATTCCCTGGAATAATCCTAACTAATATTTCTCTTGCTACCATAAAAGACAATTCTTTGTTGGGAGTCAGTTATGTAACTAGTGAGAAATCCCTAAGTAGTGACTTGGATCTGTTACAGAGAAAAAAAAAAAAAAAAAAAAAAAAAAAACAGAAGAAGCAGCTAGAGGATGATAAACACAGGGTATGGTATTCTGTGCTATGTTCAGGAAGCAGGCTGGAGCTGAGATAGATTGAATACTATGGGACTTACATAATACCTAATTGCAATAAGTTTTCATTGTATGACTCTAGGGAGAGGAGAAGTATGGCTTACCCTTTAAAAGATCATTCTAAGCAATTTTATAGAGAGTAGACTACAGGGAGGTCAGTTGGGAGGCCTGGACTACAGTAGTAGTGGAAATATGGGGCAAAGTGGTTGGATTTGGGATATTCTGAAGCTAGACTCTAAACATCTTGCTAATAGATTGGATATCAATGGAGAGAAGAAGGACAATCAGTAATCTCTGTTTTGTGCTTGATCAACTGAGCGAATGTTAGTTTCATTCTCTGAAATGATCCCCAAAGAGACAGAGGAAGAGGTAAAATGTTTTGTATAAAATGTTAAGGTTATATTTTGCATTTTACATTTCCAAAATAGAATTAATTTGGCTAAAAATGATCATGTTCAATGGAGTGAGTCAGACCAACTTGCATAATTCTAAGATAATTTGAATACTCATCTGTTATTTTTCTTTTGGCTGGAGGTTATTGTTGGTGGTGGTAGTTTGACAGAAAAAATGCAGATTTTTTGGCCAACTATGAGAAGGAAAAACTTGACACAGAAAAAATCTGGTTTATTGAGTGATTTCTAGAAATGGAAGGTATTTCTATTTTCCTAAAATGTGAATTTATATTTGTTTTTTGTCCACCACTGAATGAGATTGGATAGTCTTTGAGAGGAAATGATAAAAAACTATTTTTACTTTTATGGGGCCCCTTTCTTGAAGTTACCTCGGAAGTCATCTACTGTGAATCTTGATTTTATAGTAGGAGAAAATTGAGCTATTATAAATACCAAATGAATTTTAAAAAGATCTTACATATTTAATCAGTCAGCACAGACCTTGAGCTTAAGAGATTTCGGTAGGGTTTTTCCGTTGCTTTGTTTGTGTGTGTGTGTGTGTGTGTGTGTGTGTGTGTGTGTGTGTGTGTGTGTTTTCCCTATCATGATACAGAAAATCACAATCATTATTTACAAAATTAAAAACTTTTAGTGTATAGTTATGTCAAGTGTAACAAATCAATATCAAGTATCAAAATCATTAAATGAATTTGTGTGGACTCAAATAAAGGCTTCCACAATATAAATGAAATGCTCTGCTTACCCTGCCTTGAGTATTTCTAACTATATAGTTATCTTGAGAGGGCTTAGCGAAATGCCTCTGATATTCAAATGGCCTTTGAAATACTGATTATACTGTTTACAATAATAGTTTGTATTGCATGTACTAAGCATTTTTTCTTTCTTTTTTTTTTTTTTTTTTTGAGATGGAGTCTGGCTGTCACCCAGGCTGGAGTGTAGTGGCGCTATCTTGGCTCACTGCAACCTCAGCCTCTTGGGTTCAAGCAATTCTCCTGCCTCAGCCTCCTGAGTAGCTGAGATTACAGGTGCACACCACCACGCCCAGATAATTTGTGTAGAGATGGGGTTTCACCATATTGGTCAGGCTGGTCTCGAACTCCTGACCTTGTGATCCACCCACCTCGGCCTCCCAAAATGCCGGGATTACAGTCGTGAACCACCGTGTCCAGCTGTACTAAGCATTTTTATAGTCATTTTCTTGTTGCATATTTACAGCAACCTTATGAATCTGGTACTATTATTACCCCATTTTAAAAAATGCATAAACTTAGGTTGAGAGGAAAGATAATTGCCTCAAACCATAAGAAGGTAAGCAGCCCATCCAGGACTTAAACCCCAGTCAGGCTGACACCAACCCCATGCTGCTGTCTACTCTCCTCTGCAATTTTAGTAGTTAGTAACCCAATAAAAGTATCACAATCATGTGACTAAATTCTTACAGAAAGTGGAACATATTATAATGAAGACAGAGAGGCATTAGGTAAGAAACAGAAAATGCCTAAGTAAAAATTCTAAAAAGTGCTATAAGATATACAAATTATTTTAACCTTTTTACACACAAATTGCAAGAATTATCATTAGTATATATTCCTGAAAATTTTAGCAATTTGATTTCCTGTCATATTATACATTATATGTAATGAAATATGGTGTATTATAAAATGTATAAGACATAAGCTTAACTCATGCCTCAAAGGATAGTTATAATCCTCCTTATTGAACACAACTTTGACAGAGCTTTCTTGGGTTAAGCTTTTGATTATAACACATGTATTTTAAAACATAATATAGATTCTCCATATTGGTTTGATTGCTAAAATATTTTTTAAACCAAAACATGTAAAATTTGAGCAATTTTTCTTTGCTTCTTCCAAATGTTCCTGTTAAAGTTTTAGTGTGTTAGGCCAAAGGATATTTATAATGATATGAAAAGCCTTAACATATGTTTTTGCAGTCCATGATATTTGCCCAAGGATCTTCCTTTTAGAATACAATACAATTTTAAGATGTACCAATATGTTTTAAAGGCCATATCTGTAAAAACCCAAAACATAATTCAATTCTAAATTTCTCCACTCTTTCATCCTCTACATTTTTTTTTGTCAGTTTATTACTCTGTAGACTAAAAATCTGTAATGGTTCCTCATTGCCCCCAAACTAAATATGTAACAATAGCTATCAACTATTGGAATATCTGCTGTGTACTGGGCCCTTTAGTACATTACCTCTCATCCTTCCAATCACCTGCTACATATAGAGACAGGAAAACTGGAGCACAGGGAGCTGACCTTGAAACCCATGTCTATTTGATTTGAAAATCTTGTATTCTTTCCACTAGAAATGATGGTACCTCCTATTTAGTAAATGCCTACCATGTTCTAGGCACTATACTCAGGAGTTTGGGTTCAAATCCCAGCTCTACCATTCCCAACCCATGTATTCTTGGGATCATTACTTAAACTTTCTTTGCCTCAGTTTTCCTATCTATAAAATTAGGTAAATAATAATAATAAGAGTACCTTATAGGGTTATTGGGAGGATAAAATGAATAATCTATATAAAGAATTTAGTATACAACCTAGTAAATACAAATACGTATTAGTTATCATTATTTTTATTAGGAAATACTTCAGATATACAAAAACCTATAATGATAATAAATATCAAAGTCACAACGAAATTTAAAGGATAGAACATTATAAACACAATTGGAGCACATGTTATTTTGTAGCTCAGTATTTATCCTTCTTGTGCATGCTTTTGTTCTTTCATTATAGATGTGTATATTATTTTACAGATGTCTAAATTATAAAGCAATATATAGAAACATTTTCAAATTTTTTAATGGATGAGACCAACTGCATTTTTTCTGTAACCTGCTTTTTATGATAAATATGACGCTTGCAAAATCCATCATAATTGACAAATGAGGCTCTAGTTCATTTATTTTCACTGCTATGCACTATTTATGAATGAAACTGCAGTGAAACTAGAATAAGTCTATTGTAGGAATGAAACTACAGTTCATTCATCCACGCTATTATTGATGTATATTTAGGTGTGTTTTAAAACTTATACTATTTCATAAACTGCTATAGCATAATAAATGATGATAAAAATAATATAAAACACTTTCTAATGCTTACTTCTCAGGCAATGATTTACATATGTTGAATCATTTAATCTCATAAAATCTCATAGGAAGAACTATTATTATCTACAATGTACAGATGAAGAAAGTGGGTCAACTTGACACATCTGGTACATGGTGTTCCTGGAAATAAAAATAAGGTAATCAGGCCAAGATGTAGCTGTCTTGACCACATGTGCCTTTGGGCACACGTATATACAAGAGTGCTCTAGGACTAGTTCTCCATCTTGTCTGCACATTAGGATCATCTGGACACTTAAATATAATGACTCATGCCTAAACCTCTTTCCAGATAAATTGACTCAAAATAGCTGGGGATCAAGTCTAGACATAAATATTGTTTAATCTGATTTTTAATTAAACTTCTTGTTCTGAGATAATTGTAAATTTGCATGTTGTTGTAATACTATTTACCATTTACCCAGTTTGCCCCAGGGATACCATCTTGCAAAACCATAGTAAAACATCACATCCAGGATTGACATTAATACAGTCAAGATCCTGAACATTTCTGTCACCACAATGATCCCTCCTGTTGCCCATTTGTATCCACACCCATTTCCCTCCTGCTCATCCCCTCCTTAACCCCTCACAATCAGTAATTGGTTCCATATTTCTGTAATTTTGTCATTTCAGGAATGTTATAACATTCTATATAAATGGAAAGTCAATTCCAAAAGGTTGCATACTATATAATGGAATTCCATTATATAGGATTATATTATAGGATTCTATTACACAGTGTGGGATCCCATTATATAGGATTTCATTATATATACCCTTTTGGGATTGACCTTTTTTAATCTATCAAAATTCTCTGCAGATTCATCTAGGTTGTTGCATGTATAAATATTTCACTTCTTTTATAGCTTATAGTAGATCATGGTATGTAAGTACCACAGTTGGTTTAAACATTCACCTGTTGAAGGATATCTGGATTGTTTTCAGGTTTTTTTGGCTATTAAATATAAGCTTCTATGAATATTTATTTACAAGTTTTTGTTTGAATGTATGTTTGCATTTCTCTGGAATAAACACCAAGGAATGCAATTACTAGGCCATATCACATCCTGACTTATTCTTGTCTTTTAAGTAAATTGTGTTAACTGGCCAACACCTCTCTCTTTGATCACACTTAAAGGTCAAAAAGTCAGTGTCTATCTCAAGGTAACATTATTTTTTATCTCCAATAATGATTTTACCACCAATATTTTTAATTTTGATATGAATATTATTTCTAAGAAATTGGAGATCACAAAATAGCTACAGGTTAAATATTGCTGACATCATTTAGTAAAAGCCAAAAAAAAAAAACCCAGAAAACAGTTTAAGGTTTTCTAATCTACAGAGCACCCTACAAGGAAATTAATATCTGTATGCAACCATCTCACTAGCTTTGTTTACCAGACACGGCATGTGAGAAAGAAAACACTTCAAGTGTTTAAACATTTCTAAAATCAAATTCAAAAAAGCATACTTTTCTAATGAGATGTTCATTGACTTGAAACCAAAGTAACAAGAATGCTTTGAAGAAAATATACCCAACAATTTGTATAGTAAAGTGAATATAGTGTTCCATTTAAACCTCATAGAACCCCATGAAAAAATTAACCAAGTAAGATTGGATGATATCCACATCCTAGAGGCATGTTTCTTATTTATTGGAAATTTGACTAAACCATCAATATGACCACCTTTATTCTCAGATATTTTTAGGATACTAGAGCCAATGAATATAATGTTCTATTAAGGAGAATATGTTTAAATAATCACAGAAATTAAATATCTTATTCCATTATTATTTAAAAAGTTGTATGTGTCTATTTTTATACCAAAACATTTCCTATTAAACATATATGTATATATAATAACTTTTCTTATTAGCTTTGTTTTTTCCTACCTTCTGCAACCAGAAATTTCTCTGCTTCCTTGAGACAGAAACATAATTGTGTATCTGTTGGACAAATACTATTTTCCTTTTTTAACAAAACTTTTTGATAGAAGAGCTTTATGTTGGCATCATTTTAATGAATTCAATACATTCATTAAAGAAGTGGTAAGCCTAATAATATATTTGCTTCTGTGCATTATTTTTCTCTAAATTTTGGGCTACTTGTCTTTGTATACTGTTTCAAAACCTAGGCACTCAAGTGTGTCATTTTCCATTGCAATTAATCACTTGGTTTTGAGCTGCTCTAAGAACTGAATTTCGCCAAAATAATTGTGAGTATGAACTTTCCTGTTTGTGAGCTTCTTGAACAAGTTGGCATATTTTCCCTTCGACAACTGTCACCATCTGACAATTTGCTATTATAGCTAGACTAACATTAAGATTTAAGTATCTAACTCTGGGCTCAGTGAAGGTCAGGCATATTTAGACAGTTTTCCACAGAAAAGTTTGAAGTTAATACCCTGAGTTTCCTTGAATTGCATTTAATAACTTCCAGGTTAAAACCCCAAATGGTAGAATCAAATAAACAGACTCATGGCATAGGTCCTGAGAGATGAGCAACTGGAGAAAGAGGTTCAGATGAGATTATTTCCTCTGAAAGTACTAGTTCCTATTGTCATGGAGGAAAGAAGATCTAGATGAATATTCATATAACCCAGTTTTCTGCATTGCACATTACAGAAAGTCTACAGAGAACTCTCTGGGAGAGTGAGTCAGAAACCAAAATCAATCTGGGACAATATATCATTTATTTTCATACTGGAATGACTTTCAAATCGTCTACTTTTATTGTTGTTAATGACACAAGTTTCTCCTATGTAACAGTCTCTGAATCAAACTAAGAAAAGGCATAAATATACTGATGAGGTTTATATAACCCATGTCTAAATAATCAGAACAAATCACTAATGGCATTTAAAATATTCCAAAATGCTTGTTACTTCAACTTGTTCTCTCTATACCATTTCATATGCCTGTTTTTCTGATACTTACTTCTTTTGTTGCCTTATCCAATCACAATCAGGATTAAAGCTTGGGAAATTGAGAAGTGACCCAAATTTATTATAGGCAATTATTTTTCCACTTCTGCCTATCTGTCCCTGTAAACTTTCCCCTCATCATCTGATGCCTAATATATTGAAGTCCCCATCCTGCTATCTTCACCTCTTCCTTCCCCACCAAAGAAACAGTTTTTTCCTTTTTTTTTTTTTTTTTTTTTTTTTTGAGATAGAGTTTTGCTCTTGTTGCCCAGGCTGGAGTGCAATGGCACGATCTTGGCTCATAGCAACCTCTACTTCCTGGGTTGAAGCGATTCTCCTGCCTCAGCCTCCCGAGTAGCTGGGATTACAGGCATGCACCACCAAGCCCGGCTAATGTTGTATTTTTAGTAGAGACAAAGTTTCTCCATGTTTGTCAGGCTGGTCTCGAACTCCTGACCTCAGGTGATCGCCGGCCTCAGCCTCCCAAAGTGGTGGGATTACAGGCGTGAGCCACTGCACCCAGCCAAGAAACAATTAAAAAAAAAAAAAGAACCCTGTTCTCTGATCATTCACAGTAAGTTATAAATAGCTCATAAAATTACTAAACATATACAAAAACAAATCACATTTTACAAAGAGGGCAAAATGGTCTAGACTTAACATATAGAAAGCAAGTCAATTTTTTCTCCAACTACAAATGACTGACATGTTCAATTAGTTTTACCATTTTTAAAAAAATCGGAGTCCATTATCCAGAACTCACATGAGGAAAAGTTTAGACAAAAATGGTAAACCCAAATCACCTACGCAAGATCTTTATGAATGGGTGTGATAGTCCATTATGTGTAATGTTACTGAACTAGTAGCTGCAAAACTTTTGTCTATTTTCCATTTTCTGATCCCTCTTAGGAAGTAATAACACATTTTTGTAATTCAATAGCTATCGCCATGATTCCCGAAATAGGGGCCTACTAGAGTATTTTACATTTTTTGAGTGACACCCAACTTCTTTATCTTTCAGATCTCAATATTTTGTTTTATGAAAGAATCAAAGTAAGAAACCTAAGATATGAAAAAACACTTATTTCCAAAGGAAGAGATCATCCTAGTTGTTCGAAGGCTTACATGCTTAATGCACTTTCTATTTGTTAATGAGACTTGTTCACATTATATAGCTTTCAATTAGTTGTTTTGAATTAATTTTTCATAGTCCATATAAAATTATAATATTACAAAAATAAAATCAACACGACTGAGGAGTCTGAAGGGCAGCGAGGTCACATATCCCAGCCTTGGTTTATTCAGAGATTGATTAACAGGCTGTGCCTTGGAGTTGGCTCATGTGCAAGAACTAAATCAATGTCATGGTTTTTCATGTTGAAATTTTAAGGCACCATGATGACTTTAATTATATATATTAAATTTATCAAATATTATAAACAGCACACTTTACTGTTTCTTTATAGAACATTGGTTGGCAGCTCTTTTCGAAAACCAGTCACCCATCAGAATTTTATTTACTACTTCTCCAAAGGATTTTCCAATATTCTTCCTACAGTTAAGTAAAGGCCATTTCTCTGGCATGTGTTTTCTAAAGTCCCTTAGCTTACTCAAATATTCTAAGAAAACAACAAAGATCCTGCTTCTCTAAGCAATACCAGACATAAAATTCCCCAAAGAGAAATAAATTGAGCATTTTATGCTGAACCAAGAATGTTCTCCTTCTCTCTCCTTTTTTATATGTTATGCAAAATGAGCCAAATGATGGGGATTAGGAATGAGAAAAAGAAAATTAAGAAAGGAGTGAGACAAAAATCAAGGGTCTAGTATTATATCACCTAAAAATAAGATATGTGTCAGGCAGCAAGGAGGGAGATTACAGAAACTAACTGAAGGCTGAAATAAAAATATGCATAGATTTGTTCTTGATTTCCTATGTATAGGAGGAAATTATGGTCCTCTGTGAGAAGACAGGTTATGAAGTTCACAGAGACACGTAAATTCTTTGTTACAATCAATCCTACTTGTGTTATGACTTTTGCCTTTTGTGAAACTTTATGTCCTTGTTTTTTTTCTCTGTTGGGCATTTAGAAATTTGTATCAAGATAAAGAAAAAATAGGTAACTCATTAAAAGCAAGAAATTCGTAGTGATTATTGCATGCTACATGAAAATAAACAGCATTGTCTTATCAAACAAGCTGAATAAAGATTGTGAAAAATGTCTGTAGTAATACCTTTGCTCCAAGAATTTTAGTGCTAACTGCTGCAAGGAATACAAAATGGTGTAATACAGAGTGTACTCTCAAGGAACAAATTTATTTGAGGTGACGCAAAGTCATAAATAATGTAAATATTATATAATAAAAAGTAAAAAGCAGATTAGCAATAAGGAAAAGGCAGATTATATAGTGGATACATACTATGAGTGTATTCATTTATTCAACAACTATTTCCTGATTGTCAGTAAACCTAAAATCAGCTAGATTTTAGAGATCCAAAGATTATTGTGAATTGGACAATTTAGGAAATCTGAGTAAGAGGATTTCCTTTTAGTAAGTTTTTATGTACGTTTGAAGGGGATGTAGGAGAATATTCTTTCCTAAGTGGATGTAAATACGTTTGCTGAGTAAATGGTTATAAAGAAAATAATAAAGTCATCAAGTTTTCAGGATATAATGATAAATACCTTTGTCTGTAATGCCAAGTACAAATACATTTCTGCTTAAATGATATAGAAGTGAGAATGCTAGAAAGGAGAGATTTTAATCATTATTCAAAATATTTGCTATTGGTGCTATGTGCAAAAAGAAACTTTACTCTTAAGCAAGTAGATGATGTAGTAAAAGATTGTGCGTCACTTAGTACTCCTTTGACAATAAGTGTCAGAGAACCCAGCTAAAGCTGACCAAGAAAAGAACAGGTTTGTATTGATACATACGACTGAAAAGTTCAGAAGTAAATATGGCTGTACGAATACTCTGGAACACAGATGATTTAATCAGGAACTTGTTTTTATCCTTCTCTTGACTCTATTTTCTTCTCAGGCTCCATGACACTTTTTTTTTCAGTTTTAGGCTTATATCCTCAAAGCATTCAGTCCGGTAGAAAAGAGAGGGAAACTTTGGTTTGCTTCTGAGTAAAGTTACTGTGTTCTATGCTTGGAACTTCTAAGGTCAGAAGCTTATCTCTTAGCCAATCACTGGGGCTAAAACGATGGAATTACACAGATTTACCCGTAGTAGACTACAAACCTATCTTTCACCTCCTGTGAATAGAAGAATTCAGTAATTTAGTGTTATAACTGGATAAGCATAGAATCTATGTGCTCCCACATACATCCACATAGAATGAGAATGGAGGAAGTTTATTTCCCAGAGAATAATTGTTGTACTGGAAACAAGTGCAATGCAGAAGTTTTGTAAACCCACCCAAATATTTACTCCAGGGTGTTGTATAATAGCACTATGCTGAAAGGGTTGGATGAAAGAACACTTGGAGAGAGAATGAACACGTACTATGGCTATAAATTGTGTGAATTTGAGCTATATACATAAACTGGAATGGAAAGGGTGATATTCATGTGCAAAATTTTTTGAAGAATGACCTGGTAGAGCTTGGTGATTGTCTATTAGTTTATCCAATAGTAGATGTTTTCATAGTTACACATATTAGGGCTATACTATGGCCAGAGGTTCCTAAACTTTTGCAAGTTACAGCACTCTTAATTTTTCGGTTATTTTTGCATGGCACCCCTTCACCAAAATAAATGATTAAGAAATACATTTAATAAATATTGACTACTCCAGTAGGCCCCTATTTTGGGTATCACAGCTATAGCTATTGACTTACAAAAATGTGTTATTACTTCCTAAGAAGGATCAGAAAATGGAAAATAGATAAGGGCTTTGCAGCTATTAGTTCAGTAACATTACATATAAAAGACTACCACACCCATTCATGCAGATCTCGAGTAGGTGATTTGGGTTTACCGTTTTGTCTAAATTTTTCCTCATGTGAGTTCTGGATAATGGACTCTGATTTAAAAAATGATAAAACTGATTTCACATATCAGTCATGTGTAGTTGGAGAAGAAATTGACTTGCTTTCTATATGTTAATTCTAGACCATTTTGCCCTCTTTGTAAAATGTGATTTGTTTTTGTATATGTTTAGTGATTTAATATGCTATTTATAATTTACTGTGAGTGATCAGAGAACAGCGTTTTTAAAAAATTGGTTTCTTTGGTGGGGAAGGAAGAGATGAAGATAGGAGGATGGGGGCTTTAATAGGCATCAGATGTTGAGGGGAAGGAGTACAGGGACTGATAGGCAGAAGTAGAAAAAGAATTTTCTGTAATAAATTTGGGTCACTTCTCAGTTTCCCAAGCATTAATCTTGATTATGATTGGATAAGGCAACAAAAGAAGTATCAGGAAAATAGGTAGGCATATGGAATGATATAGAGAGAACAAGTTGAACTAACAAGCATTTTGGAATACTTTAAATGCCATTAGTGATTTGTTCTGATTATTTAGACATGGGTTAAATATACCTCATCAGTATATTTATGCCTTTTCTTAGTTTGATTCAGAGACTGTTACATAGAAGAAACATGTGTCATTAACAAAAATAAAAGTAGATGATTTGAAAGTCATTCCAGTATGAAAATAAATGATATATTGTCCCAGATTGATTTTGGTTTCTGACTCACTCTCCCAGAGAGTTCTCTGTAAACTTTCTGTAACATGAAACACAGAAAACTGAGTTATATGAATATTTATCTAGATAATCTTTCCTCTAAGACAATAGGAACTAGTACTTTCAGAGGAAATAATCTCATCTGGACCTCTTTCTCCTGTTGCCCATCTCTCAGGATCTATGCCATGCCTAATCATATGATAGAGCTGAAAATAGTAGTCCATCTTCACTAAGCCCACCTGGTGTACCTTCTAAGCTTAACATGAGTATCAATATTCATGCATACATAGTCTCCTATTGTAATGCTTTGAATTTAACATATTTCATATTTAGTATAAGTAAAATAGTTTATAATAGCAAAGACCTTTTAAAATTATTTTTTTTCTTACTTGCTTTGCACATATGAAGCTTTGATTTTTACATTTTAGCTTCTTTGTGGTTTTATTATCTGAACTGTACATTTGACTCATTTGAGCAAATCTCCTTACAAGCTAGAATATTTAAGATGCATCTGATCGTCTTTCAGTAATTATTCCAGAATATTTATTCATCACTGACTCTATGTCTTGCACAATATATATGCTTTTAATTAGGCCATGTGTTACAATCACCTGAAGATTTCCTCAAGCCTAAATTTTAATCAAGCCTGACTCCAAACAGAATAACTAGAGTTTTGAACCAGGGGAGGGGTATGTTTTTAGATTCCCAGGTGATCCTAATTTGCATTCATGGTTGAGAATGATCTAATTCAAGCAATGCTTTTTTAAGTTAAATGTATTCTTCAGCTATTTGTTGACTATTTCTGGTATTGAGAAAAATGAGGATGATATAGTCATGGTGTCTGTTCTTTTTCAGTCCACATTCTTGTCAATTAAAAATATTATGAAAGTCATACAACTGTGACAGAGAAATGCAAATGTATTTCTCCAAACTTAAAGCATAAGCGTCATAATATTTCAAAGGAAACAAGAAAATTCTAGTGATTTTTGAATTGATATTCCTTTTCTCCCTTTCCAGCTGCCTGCTACCTAGTTCACATGGTTTAGTCACAGGATAAGAGAAAAGTTTTCAAGCATTTTCTACAGATGTGAATGTTTGATATAAAAAAAAGACACTCTGGTTTAAAGAATGTTGCTAGGAAACACAGTTTGAAGATGAACTCCCCTACAGAGCTGTCTTCCATCCTGTAATAAGAAAGTGTGGTGGTAGCATGTCCTCATTTAAAAGCAAAAAAATAATCTATTAACTGTGTATCCAGAGGGAACTTGTTACAGGCTTATTTAAAACTTATTTGGAAATAGTTTTGGTTTATTATATGCACCACAACTTCCAGGAATTCTTTTGTTTTTTAATTGGTGCAAGGATAAAGTTGTGAGCATATAATATTTTGTCCAAATAATCACTATAAGAGAAATGCACTTAAATACAATAATGAACTCATGTTAATTTTTGCTTTAATAGTAATTTCTATTAAAGTAATATATCCTTTATCATAGGAAAATGTGGATATACAAAAAATATGCTAAGATAATAAGGACTGCCCATAATGCCACCTAAGAGAAATAATCATGCTTTGGTGTTATTTATGTTTTATTTCTTCTAAATACTCAAGGCATGTTGGCTAATTGTTGTTATAGGTTTGTTCTGACACACTGCCATTTAGCAAGTAAAACAGTTTAATCCACTTATATTTATTATAATTTCTTATGTACCTTGATGTATTTCTAAAATCTTATTTTATGTTCTTTTAATTACCCATTTTTTTCTTTTTCCTTATTTTCTGCCTTCTATTTGATTAGTTTATGTACCATGTATTATTGAGGTCATAATATCTAATATTTAGCCCTGCATTTTCATATAATCCAGTATAAGCTTTTCCTGATTCTGATTATTATAAAGCATTTGAAAGTGTAATTTTAAGGCTTCCCTAATATTTTTATCATATTGCTCTATTATATGTAAACACATCAAATTATTTAATCAGAATAGATTTCTCTATGAGGAATCACTGTATCAAAGTATCTGAATACTTTTAAGATACTTGATGCATATTACTAAATTATTTCCTGAAAATGTTGTCTTAGTTACTACTTCTTGTAGCAGTATAGGAAAATATTAATCATTGCATCCACATAAACATCGAGTATTGTTAATTTTAATGCTGTGCAAATTTTATCAAATAAAATATATATACAGCATTAAGTTGCATTTTTTATTCATATGTCATACATGTATGTTCATTCATGTAAGTTTAGCATGTTCTTTATTCATTAGTCTATTAGTATTATAATAGTCTTTCATATATTAACTGCTGTGAGTTCCTTATAGCTATGTCTGTAATCTTTTTGAAGTTTTTTCCCAATTTACATTTTGCCCTTAAAATTCATTCATAACTTTTATATATACAACTTAAATTTTTTCCTTTGTATTTTCTTATATTCAGGGAGTTGGTGTATTTATTTCCTTTTTAAGTTTCTGTAAGTTAATTTGATTTTTATATTTTGACTTTTAATTCATCTGAGTTTTTGTTGATATATGAAGTGAGATTAGAATGCTTATTGATTTTTTTCTAGCTATTTAGTTGCCTCAGTGCCCTTTATTGAGTCGTATTTCATATCTTTACCTGTTAGCACTTTCACAAATAGAGGATGCAAGCAATATAAATGTAAGCCTGGTTTAAATCTTAATTCCACCACTTACTAGTACCAGAAACACCACAATCCTGGGCAAATTGCTTAACCTACATGACTCAGGTGTTTCATCCCTAAAATGGACACAAAGAAGAACCTATATGAAGGTTTTTGTGAGGGGTGAGATAATACATGTAAGGTGTCTGGCACACAATAAATGCTCAGAAAATGTTAGTTCTTATAGAATCTGTTTGTTCTGTAAAGAACACCATTTTTTATGAAGTTTTTATTATGATTTTCAATTGGTGGGATTATAGTTATTTTATTAGCCTTGAGAAACAATTTGGTAGAGTACTTAAGCACATGGACTCTAGAGCTAAACTGCTTGGTTGTGAATCCCAACATGCCTACTAGTTAACTGTGTGACCTTAGCTACTTCACATCTTTGTGTCTCAATTTCTCTATCTGTAAAATTGAGATATTCATAGCATTTACCATAGAGATTTTCTGTGAGAACTCCAATGAGAATTAAATGTATTTACAGTGGTTAGTAGTAAGTGCTATGTATGCATTAGCTATAATTTGTTCCAAAATAGTCTTAATGTCCTTTTCAAACATTTTTCTTCTCTAATAAATTTGAGACTTATTCTTTCAAGTGTAGAGAAATCCCATTTGTGCTTTGATTGAAAGTATGTCATTTTGGAAAACTTTAAGAATATTGAGTCTTGTTATCAGGAGCTGGTATAGTTTTCCAATTTGTCAATGCTTCTTTTAAGTCTATCAATAAATATTTATAGCTTTTCATTTCTTGTACTGATTATTAAAAGTATTTCTAGGTCATCAATCGTGTGTTTGTTAATACTGCAGGCTGAGGCTTCACCTTTCTTATTTCTAAGTAGACATTGTTAGTACAAAAGAAAACTATAGTTTAGTTTATATTTATCTTCTGCTTAGTCACTTTGCTGAACTCTTAATGTTCATATTTTATTTAAATCCATTTTCTTTGATATCCTGGTCTATAATCATACCGTATGCAAAATAATAGTTCTGCATCCTCTTTTTTGATTGTTGTAAATACAATTTTTGCTTCATTTTGAACTATATTTGCCTAAGCTCCAAAACAGTGCTAAATTCTGTGTTTCCAGTATGGTAGAAGACACTGGGATAAAAAACAGACCAGACAGCGATGGGCCCTGTCTTCACAGTGTTTTAAATCTATTCCCATGGACTTAACATAATATTGATCTATCAAATCCTGTGTGTTGGTTTGCATTATTTAGGGGAGATGTTATATAACCTTCATTAGATTATTAAAAGGGCTTATGGCTGTAAAAGTTAAGAGTCTTTTATCGTAGATTCTGGATATTAGCCCTTTGTCAGAGGAGTAGGTTGCAAAAATTTTCTCCCATCTTGTAGGTTGCCTGTTCACTCTGATGGTAGTTTCTTTTGCTGTGCAGAAGCTCTTTAGTTTAATTAGATCCCATTTGTCAATTTTGGCTTCTGTTGCCATTGCTTTTGGTGTTTTAGACATGAAGTCATTGCCCATGCCTATGTCCTGAATGGTATTGCCTAGGTTTTCTTCTAGGGTTTCTATGGCTTTAGGTCTAACATGTAAGTCTTTAATCCATCTTGAATTAATTTTTGTATAAGGTGTAAGGAAGGGATCCAGTTTCAGCTTTCTACATATGGCTAGCCAGTTTTCCCAGCACCATTTATTAAATAGGGAATCCTTTCCCCATTGCTTGTTTTTCTCAGGCTTGCCAAAGATCAGATAGTTGTAGATATGTGGCATTAATTCTGAGGGCTCTGTTCTGTTCCATTGATCTATATCTCTGTTTTGGTACCAGTACCATGCTGTTTTGGTTACTGTAGCCTTGTAGTGTAGTTTGAAGTCAGGTAGCGTGATGCCTCTGGCTTTGTTCTTTTGGCTTAGGATTGACTTGGCAATGCAGGCTCTTTTTTGGTTCCATATGAACTTTAAAGTAGTTTTTTCCAATTCTGTGAAGAAAGTCATTGGTAGCTTGATGGGGATGGCATTGAATCTATAAATTACCTTGGGCAGTATGGCCATTTTCACGATATTGATTCTTCCTACCCATGAGCATGGAATGTTCTTCCATTTGTTTGTATCCTCTTTTATTTCATTGAGCAGTGGTTTGTAGTTCTCCTTGAAGAGGTCCTTCATGTCCCTTGTAAGTTGGATTCCTAGAATTTACAAGAAAAAAACAAAAAACCCCATCAAAAAGTGGGCGAAGGATGTGAACAGACACTTCTCAAAAGAAGACATTTATGCAGCCAAAAAACACATGAAAAAATGCTCGTCGTCACTGGCCATCAGAGATATGCAAATCAAAACCACAATGAGATACCATCTCACACCATTTAGAATGGCGATCATTAAAAAGTCAGGAAACAACAGGTGCTGGAGAGGATGTGGAGAAATAGGAACACTTTTACACTGTTGGTGGGACTGTAAACTAGTTCAACCCTTGTGGAAGTCAGTGTGGCAATTCCTCAGGGATCTAGAACTAGAAATACCATTTGACCCAGCCATCCCATTACTGGGTATATACCCAAAGGACTATAAATCATGCTGCTATAAAGACACATGCACACGTATGTTTATTGCAGCACTATTCACAATAGCAAAGACTTGGAACCAACCCAAATGTCCAACAACGATAGACTGGATTAAGAAAATGTGGCGCGTATACACCATGGAATACTATGCAGCCATAAAAAATGATGAGTTCATGTCCTTTGTGGGGACATGGATGAAACTGGAAATCATCATTCTCAGCAAACTATCGCAAGGACAAAAAACCAAACACTGCATGTTCTCACTCATAGGTGGGAATTGAACAATGAGAACACGTGGACACAGGAAGGGGAACATCACACTCTGGGGACTGTTGTGGGGTGGGGGGAGGGAGGAGGGATAGCATTAGGAGATATACCTAATGCTAAATGACGAGTTAATGGGTGCAGTACACCAACATGGCACATGTATACATATGTAACAAACCTGCACATTGTGCACATGTACCCTGAAACTTAAAGTATAATAATAATAATAAAGAGTCTTTTATCCTAATTTATAGTGATAAATCAGTCTTATTAATAACCCGATTAATTTTTGTGATGATTTATATGTTCTTATTCACTGTTACGGACTTTTTAAAATTTCAAAATAACTGTGATAGTGTTACCCATTTCCTTATACGTGTACTTTATATATATTTCTAATTACCCATATTCTCAAAAAACAATAACTAATTTTTCATAGAGAAATGTTAAAATATGTCGAAAATAAAAAGACTTTAGGTACATTAATTTACATTTTTAAGAGTCTTATTTTGAGTGTTCAAAAGTAGTACTGGAAACATAATTCAGTCTGTAATCATGGCTTGGTCACCTATGGTTTCTGTAAACATAAATATAAATACAGATATGGTTTACAATCTTAACTTGTTTTAGACTCCCGATTACAACGTAAAGAAATGTGATTAACAACAACAACAAAAAAAGGAAGTATATAGAATTTGGTTTTCTTTTGCCAGGAATTAATCTTTTTGTGGACTGCAGAAATACTGGGGAAAGATAGCTGATTGGTAGGAAAGACAGCAAGGTGTTTACTGGGCCTGATAGAGAGACTACGGGCCCATTTTATCAGTTTAATAAACAGAGTTAAGAGTCTAACAAGCTGGGTGGCTTTCCACAAACAAAACAAGTTTGAGAGTTGCAGCAAAAGGAAGAGATCCTTTCCCCTGATTTAGCATCTAGGAGACAACCATTCAAAGGAGGGATACTCATGTAAAGAACACAGCCTTGCTTCCCCTCCTGCCACTCGGTTCACTCCACAGCGTCTTGCCAGTGGGCGTTCAGGCCTGTGCCAGGGATGCGCTCCATGGAGCCAGTCAGCAGAAATCTCTTGAAAGTATTTTGACTGAAGCTGTAAAAAGTTGAACCATTTGAAAATTCCTTCCCAGGTTATTCTCTGTAAGGGTTAAACCTGCTGCCTTGGGAAATTCACTTCCTATCTGTATACCTGTATTTATAGTGGGAGGGAGATTCTTTAATAGGTTGGTGAGAAGTAGCTGGGCCTATAATTAAAATCACTGCTCTTTATTAACTAGATTTTAGCCATAATGTTGAGTGGAAAAAACAAAGATGGGGGATGTGATAAGTGATTAGAAAGAAAACAAAACAAAATTGTTAAGAGTCAAATATAGTGGTCCAGTTTGAATGGAATTGAAGGAAAGAAAAGGGGCAATTGGAATGTCATTGCTTCTCTTTTCAGTCTCTTCAATTTATCCCTTTACATATTCTGTACAAATACTAAGCAATTTTTTTAGATAAGTGGCATAGTTATAACTCTCAAAACAATTTGCTAATTTATACGTTCAGGAATTTAAAAACTGTTTACTAAGCATTTCCCATGTGATAGGTGTTGTGGTAGGTTCTCGGGTTTTTGAAGCCCCAAATCAATGGGAGAGTCAGACACTGAGAATTATTTAATCATAAAATGTAATACTCATCCTTAAAGAAGGGCAGAAATGGTATAAATCTCAATGTATTATTATGAGTATTAAAAAAAGATAATTCACATAAAGAACTGGCAGTGATCGTGGCAGTTTACCTATCATATGTACTCCAGTGATGAGAAGAATCATGAAGACGAGCATTATGCTGAGGATGAAGATGTTAGGGGACAGGTACTGCCATTTATTATCATTGGCAAGCTGCTTGACTTCTCTAAACCTCATTTCTCGATGTGTTAGTTGGAGTCAATAATAGTTACCTACACGTAATTTTGAAGATTAAAGGTATTTGTGAACCACCGGTATTTGAAACAGTGGGTGTTCTATAATTGAGTTATTTCCTTTACTAGACTCCTATCCATGCGATATTAATCTCTAATACTATATGGATATTATCAATAAAAAAGAAATACAGATACATGAGTGGTATATTCTGAGAATAACATTAGATATGGACTATCTCTAAGGTCATTTTTAAACAGAGCGAATATCACCTTTCCTGTGACTCCCCACTGTACTTTATTTCTCCTTATAATTTTGTTATTTTTTAATAGACTTTAAGAGTTTTAGGTTTACAGCAAAGTTGAGCAGAAATAACAGCGAGTTCTCATATACCCCTTGTCTCCTCACACATAGCCTCCCCCACTGTCAACATCCCGCACCAAAGTGGTACAGTTGTTAAAATCGATGAACCCGCACTGATACATTATTATCAACTGAAGTCCTTAGTTTACATTAGGGTTACTCTTGCTGTTGTACATCCTATGGATTTGCATGAATTTATAATGATAGTATCATACAGAATAGTTTCACTGCCCTAAAAATCTTCTGTGCCACTGCATTCCAGCTCTGTGATCTCCCTATTCATTTCTCCCTCCTTGCTAACCCCTAGGAAACACTGATTATTTTACTGTCTCTGTGGTGTTGCCTTTTCCAGAATGTCATATAGTTGAAATCATACAGTATATAGTCTTTTCATATTGAATTCTTTCACTTAGTAATATGCATTTAAGTTTCCTTAATATATTCTCCTGGCTTGACAGCTCATTTCTTTTTAGTGCTAAATAATACTCCATGGCCTCGTTGTACCACAGGTTATTTATTGATTCCTCTACTAAAGGATGGGTTTCAATTTTTGGCAATTATTAATTAAGGTGCTATAAACATCCTTGTGCCAGTTTTTGTACTGACATACATTTTCAACTTCTTTGTGTAAATACTAAGGAGTGTGATTGCTGGATCATATGGTAAGAATATGTTTAACTCTGTTAGAAACTGCCAAACTGTCTTCCCAAGTGGCTGAACCATTTTGCATTTCTACCAGTAGTAAACGAGAGTTCCTGTTCTTCCACATCAAATGCTAGTGAGGATATGGAACAGCAGGAACCAACAACATTTGGTGTTAGATTTTTGCCATTTGAATTGGTATGTAGTGATATCTTTTTATCATTTTAATGTGCAATTTCCTGATGATATATGATGTTGAGCATCTCTTCATATATTGATTTGCCATTTGTTTATCTTCTTTGGTGAGATGTCTCTTCAGGAATTTTGACCGTTTTCTAGTTGAGTTGTTTGTATTCCTATTTTTAAGTTTTAAGAATTTTTGCATATTTTGGATAACACTCCTTTATCAGATGTTTTCACAAATATTTGTCCCTGCCTATGGCTTGTCTTCTCCTTCTCTTGACCGTGTCTTTTGCAGAGCAGGAATTTTAAATTTTAATGAAGTCCTGCTTTGCAATTCTGGTTTTCATGGATTCTGCCTTTATTGCTATATCAAAGAAGTTTGGATTCTGCCCCTATTGCTATACCAAAGAAGTTATTTCCATACCTACTTTCTCCTAGGTTACCTTGTAGGAGTTTTATAGTTTTGCATTTTAAATTTAGGTCCCTGACTCATTTTGAGTTAGTTTTTGTGAAGAGTGTAAGGTACGTAGCTAAATTTTTTTTGTTGTTGCGCATGGATGTCCAGTTATTTTAACACAATTTGTTGAAATGACTGTTTCTTAATTAAATTGCCTTTGTTTCTTTGTCAAAAGTCAGTTGATTATCTTTATATGATTCTATATTTGAACTCTCTATTCTGTTCCATTGATCTATGTATCTGTATTTTTCACCAGTACCACAGTATCTTGGTGACCATAGCTTTATAGTCTTTATGGCTTTAAGTCTTGAGGTTGGACAGTGTCCGTCCTCCAGCTTTGCTCTTTTTCTTCAATATTTTGTTGACTATTCTGCTTCTCTATGTAAACCTTAGAATCACTGTCAATGTAAACAAAATAACTTGCTGCAGCTTTGATTGGAATTGTATTGAATCTGTAGATCAAGCTGGGCAGAACTGATATCTTGACAATTTTGAATTTCCCTCACTATGTTTTTATCTTTGTGTTTTACCTAAATATTTGTTCAAGGAAAGAATAATTTGAACTTTTCCATACTAGAGCCCTGTCTAAAACGTTTACCCTCTTTGCTATCCTTAGTTTTGGTCAAATAACTAGTTGGCTGTGAAGGCTGAGCAAAGATCTACCACTAAGAATTTGTATTGTGAGCCTGTCTGAAGGTGAATGATGTATAGACTGGATGCGAATAGCAAAAAGTGATAAGAAAGACATAGCTACAGTGGAAATGAGCTTCTCTCAGGGTCTAAAATCTGTTACTCTGCATACTCCTTAAAGTGTTGCTCTCAATGGATTTTGTTTGTTTGTTTGTTTCGTAAAATAATATGTGTATTCCAGATGAATCCAGGAAGTTTCTCATTCTAAGAAAAACACTAAATCCCAGCCACATTAGAATTTTTCCATGAGAGGCTGTATTAGGTTACTGACTCCTATTAAAATAAAAATATTAATTACAGAAAACAAAATGGAATCATTCCCAAAGAAGGAGACACAACAAGAAGAGATGAAAAATCATAGCCAAACAATCATTATCACTGGCATATCGGAAATAGTACCTGACTTAGTTAAGATATTGTGCTTCGACAGGAATGCTAATCATGTTTCAGGACATAACTTGTCCAAAAACTATATACTCACAGCTTCCGGAAGGGAAGTCCACTTCTGCAAGGGCAAGAGATTTGAAACCTGAAACTTTGTAATTTTTTTGCTGACAGGGTTGGAGGGTGATTTGCTAACATCTCATTATACAATGTATGTTAAGAGAAATGTAAAGGTCAAAACATGGTGCTTTTTGTTTCTGCTGGAGTGCTCAGTCAGAGAGATTCAGTTCAGCACAATATCAATCATTACAAATTCTTCCCCGAAATTCAAGACACATTAATCAAAACAAATGGAACTCAAGAAAAATGAAAACTGGGGGGGGTGAATAAACAAATACATGATTGAGTTGAAAACATAAAAATATTTATTAAAATACCAAAAATATTAAATAGAAACATTCTGATGTAATGATTTCTGATACAGTTCAAACTTAAATAAAGAATGTATGGTCACATAAAATGTAAGTAAGTATATCACCTTTCACCTAAAGTTTTCCAGTTAAATGCAAAACCTTCCTCTTTACCCTAACTAGGTAGATAATTATATCACTCTGCATAGTCATGTTAGGAGTTTAATTTTCAAGCTAAATCAAAATCACTTAAAATGTCAATGATAGTTTAAAATTTAAGAATAGAAATTTGGACATATCAAACTCAAAATTGATGCTTTATTGAAAAAAACTAAATGTCTTTAAATTGCTATAACAAACTTTATATGTTCAAAATTAGTTAACAAAAATAAAAGAGGACAAATTTCTGCATTCTTCAACCTCCAAATTTCTAATATCTTTATTCTAAGAAACTGCAGCTATTGTAGTGATATTCCTTCAATCCTGAAAACACTCAGGAAGCAATTTTTTTTAAATGTTTTACCTTGGCAGGAACTTTAGATCACAAGTCAAAGGTATCTCTTCTAAACTTGTAAAGAAAGTAAACAATCTACCAAGAGAACAAACAGCTCCCAATAGATACAGCTCTTACTGCTTCCTCCCCTTATTTTGTTTCTTTTAGTTAGAGAGCCATGACAAAGGAAAAACAAAATAATTTCAGATTTATATTTCTGTTGCTTCTTTTTTCTTCCTTCCATTTTGTTCATTGCATAAAACAAATTGATTAGGAGGTTCTCTTGCTGGGCTTCAAATATCATTAATATGTAGATGACTTCCAAGTAGCTATCCCCCACTCCTGTCTGACTTCTAAATTCTGGTCTTATTTATTCAAATGTTTACCTAGTATCTCCACTTGAATGTCTAATGGGAAACTCAAATATAATACGTTCAAAACTAAATTATTGGTCAACTCACTTTCCCATCAAAACTCAAGTTCCCCTTTGTTGAATAGCAACATCCTTACACTCTAATAGCCACCCCAAAAGGCAAACACTCATCCCTGAATTCCTCCCTTTTCCTCATTGTCTGTTCCAATATCTCTACAGGTACTAAGCAGTCAATGTTTATCTTTCACTGGTTCATACCCTCCTTGAAGCCAAGAACCATATTTCTTGGATCTGTTAAATCCCTAGGACCTTTAAAGATTTTAAAACAAATAAAATTACCTATATAACAGCTTCTTCATTTGCTAAGCAAATGATTACTTTTACATACCTACATTGCAAGTGATACTGGCACTTCACTGCATTGAAGAAGTCACTAGATCTTGAAAGATAAGCTCTATTGTATCCTTCCTCCCAATTGTTAAAACCCACAGCAGATATACATGAAGAGTGAATGTTGATTTAAACTGTGAACTTTAGTTAATAATAATGTATTAATATTAGCTCATCAATTGTAACAAATCGACTACAGTAACGCAAAATGTTAATGGAGAAACTATACAGGAGAGAAGGGATATATGGAAACTCTCTGTACTTTCTGTTCAATTTTCTTTAAGTCTAAAACTGTTCTGAAAATAACATATAAAATATGTCACAGAAAAAATATTTCTCTCATTTTATGCCATTGTATTCTCAAGACATCTAGAGACCCATTTTTTCTCCAGTCCCCAATGCCTTGTCTTTTAATACCTAACTTTTTATTTAATATTTTATCTATTAGCTGAGTATATTTCATTTCCCTTCCCACAAGTGAAAATAGATAATATATAATGCTGGCTTCATGAAGACTTATGAAGAAATCAATTCTATGAAATAAAAATATTTCTGAATGAGTTTATTACAACTGAGTGGGGAATTTGAGTGTCATTTCTAGAGAATTTGGTCCATATAAATTCAGTCTTGGCAGCTAGCCATTAGGGGTTTTTGAACTGGCATATTTGAGAAGTGTTCTAACTTCTCAGTGGAATAAAGAAGAGGGGAAAGAACATTATAGAATGATTCTTTTCTTTAATAAATTTCCATATAAAAGGGTTTTGAAAGTCTGGCCTCAAGGTAATTCCAGAAATAGATTTCAAAGACTGCGACTCAAGTTTCTGTGTTATAGTAAGCTTAAGTTTTATAAAGTGTCAAATTGATGATCAGTTATATGGAAGCCTCTATTTATAATAGTATAGTCCATTTTTATACTACTTTTAATTTGCAAAGGTGCTTTCATATATTATCTTATTTGGTATTCATAGTCATCCTGGGAAAATTGTAGAACAGATGCTAACTCCTAAATAGATAACCACAATTTCACAAAGTAAAGAAAAAGAAATGCATGGAAGTATCCTCAGTCCAATTTTATCAGTCCATTTTCTATTGCTTCAAAACACCTGCAACTAGGTAAGTTATAAAGACAAGAAATTTATTTCCTACAGTTATGGAGGCTGAGAAGTCCAAGGTTGAGGGGCCATATCTGGTGAGAGCCTCCTTGCTGGTGGGGACTCCGTAGAGTCCTGTGGCAGCAGCAACACAGGGCGTCATGTGGTGAAGGGACTGCGTGTGCTCGGGTGTTTGCTCAGGTCTCTCTTCCTCTTCTTGTAGAGCCACCAGGCCTACTCCCATGATAACCCATGAATCCATTAATCCATGAATGGATTAAAATTCAATCACCTCTTTAAGGTCTCCTCTTTAAATACTGTCATGTTAGGGAATGTTTCCAACACATGAAATCTGGGGGACACAAGAAAACCATAGCACCAATGTTAACCATTTAATAGTAATTCTTGTGCTTCAAGATTTTTTTTTTTTTTTTTTTTGAGACGGAGTCTGGCTCTGTCGCCCAGGCTGGAGTGCAGTGGCGCGATCTTGGCTCACTGCAAGCTCCGCCTCCCGGGTTCACGCCATTCTCCTGCCTCAGCCTCCCGAGTAGCTGGGACTACAGGCGGCTGCCACCATGCCCAGCTAATTTTTTTTTTTTTGTATTTTTTTAGTAGAGACGGGGTTTCACCGTGTTAGCCAAGATGGTCTCGATCTCCTGACTTCGTGATCCGCCCGCCTCGACCTCCCAAAGTGCTGGGATTACAGGCGTGAGCCACCGTGCCCGGCCGCTTCAAGATTTCTTAATGAAGGTAGTTGCATCGATGTTCATAGGTGCTTTTCTTTTAATTATCAGCTCTATTCTAAGACACCTAAATCTTCTGAACACACACACACTTACATGCTGACACACACATGCTGACACATGCTTACACTTATGCACATGTATTTATTAATCACACACTGTGCAAAGTATTTAAGCCCCAATAGGAATATAAAGATATGTATAAGGTATGTTTTTTTTTCCCTCTCTCTCAGAAACTTATAGTATAGTTAGGGGTAAAGAGAAATGATCACAGGTATCTTACATACATTTTTTATATAATTCTCAGAAGTATGTATTATATTACTATTCCCATTGTACAAACACTGAAATGACTTGCCTAAATCCACTGAGCCATGTGCATCACTTCTGACTAGACTCACAGTCTGTACCCTTGTCTCCTAGCCTCACTGCCTTTTGATAATATAAACATCTAAAATGCTATGAACATAGGCTCAGATTTCCTAGGACAGTTTTATAGTTGGTTATTGTGTTCTATTTATTGTCCATTAAGACATATCAGAAACACCAAATTTCGACAAAGAAAATACTTCTCCAAAATACTTTCTTTCCTCAACCTTTTAAGTTGTCCTCAAATATATTTTTTCTAATTCAGTTTCCCAATATTCAACTGGAAGTGGCCTTGCATTTAAAAAGTAAGCAAGAATATAATAATAAGATACCAGCAGGTGAGACAAAGGACCACTTGAAGATTTTTGACAAGGGAGAAGACCTCAGAGGAGGAGGTTGTCTGAGGAGACACTTTCCTATAAAGATAAAATTTAATCTGGATCCTGAAATAGAGTTGAAATTCTTATTTTCTCATTTACAAACTGAAGCTAATAATAGTAGCTACATCATTTGTTTAGATGAAAATTGAGTTAATACTTAGGCTTTTAAAACAGAGCCTGACTTAGAAGTTGGAAGATGGAGTACATATATCTTAACTACTAAGCTAAATGTTTTTATCTTTTAATTTCTATTGCCTAGCATAATGCCTAACACATAAAAGTATTTAATAGATAATTGTTGAATGAATGATGAAATGATAGTGTATCATTGGTAAATTTTGAGTCAGAGAGTATAGTAAGAGAATTATAGTTTTTGGAGGTCAAATTGACATTTGTATTGTTCACTAAGCTTCAGAGATTTGGATATATGTTCTTTACAATAATAAATGCTTAGACTGTTTCCTCTTGGTGGAAGGGATCAAAAGGTAGATCCATCAAGTTTTCTCTAAAGCTTCTGCCTAACTAGGTGCTAAGCTTTTGAAGTTTGAGAATTTGCTTCTACTGTTATTACTAACTGGGGCTTGTATGAAGCATTTCACATAGCAGGTACTCAGGAAGTATTGATTGATTGATAAGACTTGGATTTGATACAAGGAAATAGTTGCTTACATTCAGGGAGAATAATTAAAGATACCAGAAACTATAGAATCACTTTCCTTTAGATACCAGTTTTTGTATAATATACATCTCTTTCTGTAATTTCATATGACCGGAGGCATGTATTGACCCTTGCCCTACTGACAAATTAATTAATATTTGATATAAATTCGAATAAAAAGGAACAAAGCTCTCTGTATAGCCCAAGACCGTGTTGTGGATATAAGTCTGAAACCTCAATGGTTTGGGGGCACCAGGTTAAGGTAGCCCCGTAATTTCCCCAGTATCTGTTCTGGTAATGAAACCTTTAAAAGGAGCCAGAAGAGCAGAGCCTTCATAAACCAAAGCACTTAGGATTAAATATTATGATGATATTTTCTTGTAGAACTATTCAACAACTCTCTGTGAAAGAAACAAAAGTTCAACACATGGCATTTAAGGTGCCATGATTTTAACACACTTCTCTTTCTCAAATATTTTCACGAGTATATGCCCTAGCCATGCTTATTCTTCAAGGGTCTCTGAATTTGACCTTTATTATTCTCCTTTCTCTATTGCTACTTCCTCCTGGATCTGCTTGCCAAGTATGGAACAATAATTTGTTTTTAGTAATTTCTCAATAAACATATTCAACAGATTTTAATGGAGTATCTTTGATGTGTTAGGCATCATGTTATATGATGTGGGGGGTATAGAAAAAGGAATGAGATAATCTGCTGTTGAGGAGCTTGTAATTTAGAAATTCCCTCCCTGAATAAATCTCTTTGATTTACCAGTACTTATGCTACTGCTACAATATGTCTGGACATGGTAGATACTTAAGAAATATGTATGCAATAAATTAATAAATAATTTTAAATTACCATTCATCTTCCCTTATAGGATTACTTTGTTATATATTCTTCAAAGAAAATGTAATGCATTTCTTGGTCTTCGAACGGGTTTTGAATAAAAACAGATGTCTGCATGGTTAAATTGCACAATCATTGAGATTAACTTATATATGTTTCAAATATAAATACTTGAACAGTTTTAATTGAATTGAAGTGAATTTAACATAAAATTCTCTTATGTTCTTTCTAGAAATGAGGGCCTAAATAATTTTGGTATGAATCACTTATCAGTTTAAGTACTGATACAATGACCTGTATTCAATGACTCTTTTACCTAAAAAACAGAATGTCAATGATTACATCATGCTCCCAGGAGGACTGTACCTTCCATGTTGACGTCTCTTAATCTGAACAGCAGCTAATAGGAGTTATGAGATCATCAGTCTCATTCTCCCTTCAGGGGTGGTCTCGTGTCAGAAGACACTCAGAAGTTTTGTGTACCTTTAGATTTGTGAAGTGGAATAAATGCCTGATATTTTAACAAAGATATTCAGATACTGTGCAGCATGCAGCAGCCTCGAGCATCATAATCCTATGCAGCAGCATTAGGTAGAACGACTTAGAGTGGAACCTCAGAAAGCACAGTGGCAGCAGTGATGAAGCCTTCTTATTAGATGTGGGCATCTCCACAGTGGAGTAAGGCCATACAAAGGGATTATTACAGCACAGGAAGTCTTTAAAACTCTCAGGGTACATTGAGTGAGCTCTTGGATCTGGCACTATTTCTTTACAGGTCTTATCCTTTTATGCTTATATGTGAGAGCAAAAGAGAAAGGAGTTTGAACATTCTATCCTGCTGACATAGGATTTTTTTCTGCTGTATTAAATTCAAAATTCTACTTTGGATCTAGATATGATTCACAGGTATCACAAAGCATATTTCTTTTGTAGTAGTCTACCAATCTCAGATCGGTTTGAATTGCAGTTGAGCAACAATGGTAGTTAAAACACATTCAATCAGGTCATTATCGTCCAATAAGACAGTCTCACATAAAAGTCAGAAACCTTCTAGTTATTAGTCAAAGCAATACATCAGAATGCCTTGTTTATTATGATATGGCAAAATGAATCAGATGTAGACATAGAGGATATTTATTCATCATGTAGACCAAATGCCACACAAAATATACCATAGACATAATTTTAAGAGACAGACTATTAAATATCATGCATCTTCTAATTTTTAGAGATGTGTTGGCTGAACGTGTGGCCCTGGAACACATTTGCATGCACATAGATACCTATACATTGTTCTCTGTGAGCAACGAAAATATTCCAACCTTCACTTAACATACTTACTACGACAATCCTTGAACTTTAGTATGCCTACAAATTTCCCGGAAAACTTGATTAAAATGAAAATATTAAGACTATTCTTCAAGAGTTGCTCAGAAATCGATCTTAACAATCACGTGCCAAGTGCTGTTAATGTAGGTGGCCCTTGGACCACAGTTTGGGAAACACTGACTTATTGTTATGAAAAATATGTTAATTATTAAATATGCAAAATACTGGTTTTTTAAATAATCTAAAGCAAAGACAGATACTAAGTATCTTTTAAAAAAATTAAGTAATAAACGATAAGGGATTTAAATCTGTACGGAATAGAAACCCTTGCTCTGTGCTCTGTTACTAGCTATTTGTATTAGAGCAATCCATGTAATCCCTTTAAGTCAGTCCATCTCTAGAAATGGCTGCTGAGGAGAAAAAAATCTTAAGGCTTTGACAGATATGGATGTTAATTAAGTGCTGACAGGACGGCATGCATTTTACAGAACAACTGACTGCTTACATTTTTGTATAATTGGATTTATAATTAAATTAATTGCTCATTTATTTTTGAAATGATGTAATGCAAGCAGAGGAATGTAAAAATAGTGAAACTTTATTTGTGATATTTATAGCATATATTTTTACTGGGATAATTTAAGCCCATGGTGTCACACAGGACTATAATTGCTACAGCCACACGTATTCCCTGGAATTTCAGGAAACCATCATTTTTAGGTGGTAGCAAAAATAGGAAGGCCCACATAGATTTTTGTCCTACATTTTGGGAGTGTGTGTGTGTATGGTTAGGTGCCTTGTAAAGTTTGAGAAAATGCAGAAAAGCCCTGCTGATTCCAAACTATCTTGCCTGTGGAACTGATAAGGTACCAACTCCACACAGTTATTTTGCTTAGAATTACAAAATTTGACATGCTAATGGAAAATGGAGATAGTAATAATGAACAAATCAAGTGATATTATTTCTTGCTTATCAGCAATGCTGAGAATTACTGATTCAATCAATGAACAAAAGAGGCACTGTTTTAGCAAGCAAGATTTAGAACTCACAAATGTATTTACGAGATTCCACTCAACCTCTTTCCTATCAGTATATTAATAAGAATCAGTTTATTACTCAAGGGCAAAGCTATATTTTAGGTTTGGCAAATAATTGCTGCTTAAAATATTAAATGAATATTAAAGGAAAGATAAAACATGGTAGATAGGTTTCAGTAGGAGTTGCAAAGGATGAGGGGATGTGAAACTGACAACCGCTCTGTTGTCGATGATTTACATGAAGAATCTGTGTAGAAGAGATTGAAGGGAGCCAGGCAATTAATGGGAGTACTGAAGGTGACACAGTAACCTCAGATACATAAATGCAGTAGGAAGTAACAAGCATATCTGCTTAAAATCTTATAAGCCACTAACTTGTACATTTTCGTATCTGATCCTGACCAAATCTCTCACATTTCTAGAGCTGTACTGAGTTAATAGGGATCGTGTAGATTGCCCAAAAATGCATAGCTAGTAATACAGCCAGGGTTTGAATCCTTTTATTCTAGACACATTTAAATTCTCTATGTTTTAGTAGTTTTTTAAAAAGATATTTAAAATCCGTTCTTGATCTAGATCATAAAAAGGATTTTTTATATTCAAAAATTAGCATATTTTTAATAACGCTAAGTCAGTGTTTTCCAAAATGTGGTCCAGGGTCCACTTAACACCATTTGGGGTGCACTTGTTAATTAGACAGATTCCTGAGTAAATCGCAAGATAATAAGGATTTCTATGGAAATAGCTCAAGCATCTGATTTTAATCAAGCTTCCTAAGTAATTTGTAGGCATACTAAAGTTCAAGAATTATTGTAGTAAGTGTGCCAAGTGAAGGTTGGAATGTTTGATACTCTGGGGATGTTACATTTCATGAGATGTTTTAGAATGTGTTGTATTGCTCCTCTTTCATGTATACGGCACACACATTCAAGTGACAGGCTGTTTGAGGGGCTAAGGCTGTTGCCATCTGAAGACCAATGCAGCTCTATCTGCTCATTGAACAACATATTTTATTCTGACAATGGAAGGATACTGTTTGTAATCATTTGCAGAAAAGGGGGTATTCTCCTTGTGTGTGTACTGTATTCCTTGGCTTAGAACAGTATGGTCTTCAGAAATTTTTATGAAATGTATTTGACCACTGCAATAAGCTGCTTAAACATTGTTAATGACTTCATAGAAAATGGTTAGACTTTTGTTTATAGAGTGTAAAGAAATCAGTGTGAGGCTGATCTAAAACATACCATTAGTCAGTTAAAGGGGGTTTCATCACCTATATTTAAATTGTATTTAATAATCCAAAAATTAACTGGAGAGAGATAATATTTATATGAAAGTGCTTAATTGACTTTGTATTTCATTGTATAGTATCCCCTTTTAAAGGGGTAGCAATTTTAAAATTCAAAACTAGTTTTATTTCCAGAAAATTTCATGTATTCGTTTCATGCATTTCACTTTTATGTACATATGCTGCAAAGCTTTACATCCACACACACATATCCATATACATGCATTACCTAAACCTCACAATAACACTCTTAGTAGGAACTTGGATCTTCATTTTAAAGACTGACACCTCAGAAGATGAAGGGACTTGAGCAGCAGAGGAAGAATTTCAGATCGAGTCTGAGAGGAAATTGTCCCTCAGTTTTGAATTGTAGAGTAGGAGATATTGGTGTCTTTTTGTCTGGAATAATATGTGCTTAACTTGAATAAGCTTCTGATAATCTCTTGGAAATAGAACTTTGTAGTGAATGTTGTTCAACATCAAATTTTAGGTTAAATATTTTTTTAAAAAATGAACTTTCACGAGGTTGAAATAGAGGTACAATTTATGGATAAAGGCACATTTTTTTGTACCTGATGTGCCAAAAAATTTTTTTTGTAAAAGTGATATGACCATTTGCTGATATATATGAATATTTCTTCAATATTCTTGAGATGTTCTCTGTCAATGTAAATGATTGTCTAATCATCAGTGCGATGAAAAGCTAGTTTCATTTGTCATGATGGAACACACTTTCATTACATAGCAGTACTAAATTCTTTGTAAATAATAGTTGCTAATATATTGTTGAAGCATTTTATAATAATTTATTTGGACTATCCAGCACCAGAATAAAACATGACAAGAGCTAGATGGAGGTCTGTCCAGCAGAAAAATGCATATCTAGATATAGGACAGATTTCTCAAATGAGAAAACCCTAGTGTTGTCTAAAGGAAAGAGGGAGCAGGAAGAAGAATGACAAGTAGAGGAAGAGAGAAGGAGAAAGAAAGACGAAGATGTGTCATACTGCCTTGCCTTACTATATTGAGAAGTGCTGTTGTTTTAAAATATGTGTAAGAGATTTAGTAAAGGATGCTGGAGAACAGAAGGTGAATTCTCCTGGAAATTAACAGAGTGCCAGTCCATGTCAGGGATCCATCAGTCATGGAGACCCACAGAGCTGCATGAGGTTGTGAGATGCAGCAGCAGCAGCAGCAGTACCTGGCATAAGGCCTGGCTGGGTGTACAAGAGGTCACAGGGCTCTGAAGGCTGACACGTTCAGGGAGCTGGCCAGCACAGCATGGCCTCAGGAACAGGAATGCACCCCCAGTTCCTGCTTCTGGTCCTTCTGTTATTTCAGTTGTTGAGAAGAAACAAGTCTGCTCCTGTGACTGGCACATGTTTGTCAGAGTTGCTTTTTTTTTTTTTTTTGCCTCTGTCACTTCATTTTTTGCAACACTTTCAGGTCCATGGAGGTCAGGGGGCTAGCTGTGAATTACTAAGTGGTGTGGCCTCAAGAGAGAAGTAGTAGGGGCAGTTTCTTCCACATTAGTAGGATGGGCTCAGCTTGCTGCCTTCTCTACTGTGCTGCTGAAGGATGTGATCAGAGAGTCACAAATGATGGGATAACTGGTGACACAATAGAACAGATCACCAGCAGAAAAATAAATGTGTGAACAACATATGAAAGATACTTTTATACCCGAATGGCAAGAAATCTATATCATAAAATAAATTACATGCTGCTGGGGGATGTCTCACTGTCCTAATGAAAGACAAAACATTTTGAAGTGAAGGAAAAGATAGCATGGAATAACACAGAGAGGCTCAAAATAATGAAAATAACTTTTCATTCTGATTAGAGTGTACATATTCAGAACTGGAAAACAGACTTCCAGTAATGCCCAATAAACCACATATTTCAAAATGCTTTTAAATATTGATACTTAAAATATCCTTTTCTGGAGTATATTTATAAACTGCAGGAATCCCTAACAAGGATCAAAGCCCCAGTAATAGACATTTTCTTTCCTTCTTTCTTTCTCGTCTCTTCTCTTCTTTTTGAGATGGAGTCTCGCTCTGTCGCCTAGGCTGGAGTGCAGTGGCGCGATCTCGGCTCACTGCAAGCTCCGCCTCCTGGGTTCACGCCATTCTCCTGCCTCAGCCTCCCGAGTAGCTGGGACTACAGGCGCCTGCCACCACGCACAGCTAATTTTTTGTATTTTTAGTAGAGATGGGGTTTCACTGTGTTAGCCAGGATGGTCTCAATCTCCTGACCTCGTGATCCGTCCACCTTGGCCTCCCAAAGTGCTGGATTACAGGCGTGAGCCACCCCGCCCAGCCCTCTTCTCTTTTTCCTTCTCCTTCTTCTTCTTTTTCCTTCCTTCCTTCCTTTCCTTCCTTCCTTCTTTCCTTCCTTCCTTCTTCCCTCCCTCTTTCATTCTTTCTTTTTTTTTCTTTTTTCTTTCTTTCTTTCTCAGAGTTTCACTCTGTCACCCAGGCTGGAGTACAGTGGCATGATCTCCACTCACTACAACCTCCAGCTCCTGGGTTCAAGCAATTCTCCTGCTTCAGCCTCCCAAGTAGCTGGGATTACAGGTGCATGCCACCATGCTCAGCTAATTTTTTGTATTTTTACTAGTGATAGGGTTTCATTATGTTGGCCAGGCTGGTCTCGAACTCCTGACCTTAGGTGATCCACCCACCTCGGCCTCCCAAATTGCTGGGATTACAGGTGTGAGCCACTGGACCCAGACCCTATTCTTATTTTAGGAAATTAAAGTTCATTTTGGATAGGATTATAGTTATGTACATGGTCCATTCATTTCATCATTTATTCAATAACTCCATATCAAGTGACTTCTGTGTGTCAGGCATTAGCGCCACAACAATGAACAAGATATGTATCCCCTGCCCTGGTTGGCTTACAGCCTAATGGAATAATAAATGGTTACTGAATACTTTCAGTCAACATTTTGCATGCACAACTTTATGCAAACCTTGCAATTGTGCTATGAATTAGATATTCTTTCCATATTAAAAGGTGAAGACAATTAGGTTCAGAGGCTGAGTAATTTGCCCAAAGTTGCAAGCTAAAGAATGGTTGAGCCAAAATTCGGCAAGATATGGCTAACTTTCCCTGTACACATTTATGCATTTTGGCACATGTTCCCATATACTGTGGTCATTATTGAGAAGGAACTGTTAAATTACATTCTAGCCCTAGAAAAGTTGTCTGTATTTTATTTTCAATTTACTGAGATATCTTGCTGTATGTGGACACAACTAATCTTTTTTTAGGCCTATCCCACTTCTTTCCAGATTATCTATACAGTTCATGGGTAAATAGACCAAAATATCACTGATGTACTCTATCAAAATGAAAAATAAGAAGCAAACTTTCACAGAAATTGCTCTTAATTCTTCACCTTTATTTATCTGTTTCTTTTTCTCTCTGGTCAGTGCTGCTTTCTTGCCCCTCAATAGCAACACTGCAGTAGCATCTCTTGCTCTTAAATGTGAATATCTGTGGGAAACATTTAGAATTCTCAAATTATAACAGTTTATTATTACACAAATTAAGATTTCACTCTGTCACTCAGGCTGGAGTACAGTTAGGATTACACAAATTAGGATTTGTGTAATAATAATAAAATTAAAAATAAAAATAATAATATGTCATCTAAGTTAATTTTTACAAAGTCAATTGCTTGATTGGCATTAAAGTTTTGGCATTTTTATGTGTTTGCTTTTTCTAACTTTCTCTTCATTAAAATATAACTTGTCTTATTTTGTATGTGTAACTCAATGAGAAAAATTAGAAACTATCAGGACAAAAAAAGTGATCAAATTCACATTTTTGTGACAAAGTTTAGATAGGCATAACCAGTGTGTACACATTTCAAAAATTTTCACTTAAGTCTATATGTAGATAACGATGTCATGCACAATCAAAATAAAAAGCTAAAAATCTTTCCACAGATCATGTAATTGATTTTCCTGTCCTCTAAAAGAATTGTTGGCCGGGTGCAATGGCTCACGCCTGTAATCCCAGCACTTTGGGAGGCCGAGGCGGGCGGATCACGAGGTCAGGAGATCGAGACCATCCTAACACGGTGAAACCCCGTCTCTACTAAAAATACAAAAAATTAGCCGGGCGTGGTGGTGGGTGCCTGTAGTCCCAGCTACTCGGGAGGCTGAGGCAGGAGAATGGCGTGAACCCAGGAGGTGGAGCTTGCAGTGAGCCGAGACTGCACCACTGCACTCCAGACTGGGCGACAGAGAGAGACTACGTCTCAAAAGAAAAAAAAATTGCTTTTCATTCTTCACCTCTATTAAACTGTTTATTTTCCTCTCTGCCCAATTCTGCCTAGGAAAATAAATTAATAAAAATTTAAAATTTCAGGCTTATATATATTAAAAAGGAAAAATATGTTTATCCTGGCCCATATATTACCATGGTCCAGGTAAAAATTTTGTCCAGCCTCTGCCAAATGCTAGGATTCTTGCAAATCAGGGAGTATATGTGTTCTCAAAATCCATTAAAAAATAAATAGACTCCTATATTTTTCTCTGACATAATAGTATGGTGCAAGCAATCAGTAGGATTTTAATGTTGCTGTTTTAAATATGTTCGACTATATTTATACGTTGAACACTACAACATGTGTTTTCCTTTTAAAATTGTTTTTCATGCTTTTTTTTTGTTTTGTTTTTTTTGAGATGGAGTTTCGCTCTTGTTGCCCAGGCTGGAGTGCAGTGGTGTGAAGATCTCGGCTCACTGCAACCTCCACCTCCCAGGTTCAAGTGATTCTCCTGCCTCAGCCTCCTGAGTAGCTGGGATACAGGCATGCGCCACTAAGCCAGGCTAGTTTTATATTTTTAGTAGAGATGGGGGTTTCACCATGTTGGTCAGGCTGGTCTCGAACTCCTGACCTCAGGTGATCTACGAGCTTCAGCCTCCCAAAGGGCTGGGATTACAGGTGTGAGCCACTGTGCCCAGCCCATGCTCTATCTTAATTTATGTTTTCATTCAATTCTATGTCATGAGATTTCAGTTATGCTATTATATATTCTTTTAAAACAATGATTTAATGTCTTTTCAAGATGAAACCCCTATTGTGTCATTATTGATGAGTGCTCTAATGCCCTAGGCCATATCATTCTTAAGGTGATCCAGTAAGCAGTGGTTGAGGCAGGAAGTCACCAAATGACTCAAATCTAAGAATGCAACACTCCTGTATAAGGCCCTGCCTACCGCAGGAAGGCCCATTCCCACCGTGCTGTGTTTACCATGGTTTCAGTGAAAATGATTAACACTTTTTCACGTTTAATAGCATACAGGTCCACACAACTATGTCATTGCACTGGCTTGTTCACATATCTGTGTACTCTTTTTCTGTGAACTTCTTAAGAGCAAGCAAACTGTGCCTTTCTTTTTTGAGTCTTCATAGCTACATGCTTAGTCACAGTGGTGGATTTTACCACGGAGATGATGAAACTTAAGTAGCAGGGCCCTTCACCTGCATGAGGCTATTCCAGGGTCCTGGGTGAAACTTTAGCAGTGTAATCACATGGTCGTACATGATTGCAAAATTTTTAAAAGCAAGATATTTTAATTAGACTGCTACATGGTTTTGTATTTTCGTTTATATTAGTAATTTTATTTTCTTCTTGTCCTGAAAGAAGGCTCTCCAAATGGACAATTTTGGCCCCACAAAACCTTGATTGTCCCCTGTTGACATGCAAGGAACACTTATTTGCTTTTTTCTTGAATAAGTGAAAGAAGTAAAAGGGATGAGGAGGAATGAATATTTTATTAATTAATATATTGTAACATTTAAAATTAGCATGTCTGGCAAAAATTTTCCTTAAGCCACTAACAGAAAATGCTAACATCATCACCCTTGTGTAATGTCTGTGAGTTTACAAGCTCTTATACAAATGTAACTTCAATTGAATCTTTGAACCAGGCCTTCCGTTAAATGTAACCTTCAATTAAAGTGAATGATATCAAAATGTTTACAACTGTGCTATTTGTAGAAAAGACTTATTATACTCAATGGTTACAGAGGAAAAGAAACCTAAACACATGATTGAGTGACACTCATGATTGCATTGTGTCAATACTAGGATGTCAGCTGAAGCCTTCTGATACTGACTCCAGTCTTTGCATTACACGGTGTTTACAAATATATTTAAATAAATGAAAACTTATTCTACAAACGAAAAGCATAAAGTCACATAGGTTAATAATGTTTTCCTCAAATGATGAACATTTCCAATTTCCTTCCCTTTCTTTCTTCTCCTCTCCTCCTCTCCCCTTCCTTCCCCTCTCCTTCCTTCTAATTCTTTCCTTCTTCTTCTTTTCTTTCTTGATGCAGGTGTTTAAAATTATCCAACTGCCATAGAGCTAAATTCTTTTTTGGAAAATTGAACCGAACTTCTACTGAATACAAGATGAAAATGTGGTTGCTGGTCAGTCATCTTGTGATAATATCTATTACTACCTGTTTAGCAGGTAAGAAATATCCTTTGTATATTCTACATATATTATGTCAACATAATTGATATGCGTGTTTATTAAATGTATTGTATGAAGTAAAAATTCTTATTTTCTCGACATCTGGGTCAGATAAGTAGATAAATATGTATCAAGGGTGACCCTATTTCCTTTTTAATTTCAATTAAGATTTCACAAAACATTGTCAATCTTGGGTAATAGTGTGCTGGTGAATGTTTAAAATCTAGATCTCTGGGGAGATCCCTGGAGTGTAGCATTTGTCTATTACTGGGGAGTAAATTATCCTACCATGGCCAGTTTCAACCTGACATCATTTAATGTGGAACTGGAAAGATGTGCAACCGCTCACCAGTCTGTAGTATTTTCACCACCCTGATATAAGTAACCACAATGGCAAAGAGAATATAAAATATAGTAAATAAAAGAGAGAAAACAATGGGTTTTAAGCATTTATTCCCTTTGTTCTTAGTATAATTTATTCATTTGTAAATTAATACAATTTTTAATACTGGCCATGTTTAACAACTGATTCACAAAATTTCTGAAAATTAATAATCACTTCTTAAGAGCTATAAGCAGATGCAACACACTACTGAATCTTACACAACTCTTTTGCCAATTTGATCAATATAATTTAAAAAATGGATTAAAGTAATCTACAGTGTGTGTAGGGACATAAGACTAATAAAACAATTTTGAGAGTACATTCATTTTAGGACAAAGAAATATTATATTTCTGTCTTTCAAAGGCAAGTGTGAAGCATTCAGACCTATTTCCTACAATGAGAAGCACATCATATCTTTATCTGAAAAACTGATATAATTACCCAACTAGTACTTATTGAGCTAGGTCATTTAGTACTTATTGAGCTAGGTCATTATTATGAAAGTATTAGAAAAATTGAATTCTAACAACCAATTTTTCTAATACTTTCATGATAATGACCTAACCCAGTAGATACTTGTTGAGTGACTGTTTTGTTCAAGACATAAATGGTCCTCATCCTTTTGTATATAAATCCCCATTGATCACTTTAATGATTAATCTGACGGGCATCATTATTAAGAACATAAAAAAATATTATTTTATTTTGGGGAATAATTTTTATTATGCTCACTCCAAAACTCAGAAAAGATCATTTCATTAGTACTTAAGGATTTTAATGACATTGATAAATATATATTTTATAACCAGGGTAATTATGCACACACACCCACATACATAGATGTAATTACATGCATAATATATTTACATATATATAATGTAAATATAATAAAGAAAAAATTTGGTAAAGTCATTGTGAAGTCTTATTTTTGTGAATAAAATAAAATAAAAATTATCTTATTATTACTGAAAATTCATACGAATTCTATTGACTGCAAACTTCGGTGCTGCAACTATCAATGTAAAGATAAGAAATAAGTATCTGCACAGATGTGAAGATACTTCAACCTTTATAGTAAAGGGCCACTACTCTCATTCCATTGTCTAGCATCTCAGCTATTTAAGTAATGTTTGAAACCACAATTCAAATAATTGCTTCAGGATCAAAATTGTTTTTTCTTTCATTTTTAGAGTTTACATGGTATAGAAGATATGGTCATGGAGGTAAGTTGACCAAAGAGTAGACCTTGTAAACATCTTTTCTCTATTGAATCATATTTTATCTCTGCTTTAAACTATTAACTCTCTAAACTTTAAGGCAAATGGTTAATGTTAGATCACTATGAAATTTTGTAAGGTGGTCTTTCTGAGATTATAAGCAAACTGTTTGTTGAATGAGTGGATACATCATAAACAAATATCCTATTAGAGGATTGTAGCAAATGGAAAATATTCAATTTGGCTGGCTTTTTTTCCTGCATGCTTTGTAACAATGCTATGCGACTAAATTTGGAAGCAATATTTTAAAATTTGTAAGCCTTGAACTTATTTTTGAAAGCCTCTTGCTTTGTTGCAAGGGAGATAACTAAAGTTAGTGAAATTGGAATCTTAAGATTCAGTTCAATTAAAAGTCCACAGGTATTGCAAAATTTATTGTTTAATAATCCTTCCAGTTTAGAGCCTACTTCAACTACCAAACAGATATTGCAGAAATAAAGTCAGCATGGTATACTGGAAAAAATACAGAGTCTAGAGTAAGACCAGCCTGAATTTGCATTTTCAGCTCAGTACTTACTAGATGATTTTATTATCTTGCATAAATTATATAACTTCTATGAGTCTCAACTTTCCAATATGTAAAAATCACAGAATTGTTGTGAGGACTAAAAAATGAATTGCAATGATAACTTCTAGCATAATGACTGGCAAGTAGGTGCTTAATGAGTGTAGCAACACTAGTAACTTACAAAAGCCATTGCATGATGGTAGGAGAATGAAAAATCATGAAGAATCACTGAACAACCAGTGCTAGAACTTGCATGCCAAATCAAGGTTACCCATTGTATTAGTCTGTTTTCACGCTGTTGATAAAGACATATCCCAGACTGGGAAGAAAAAGAAGTTTAATTGGACATACAGTTCCACTTGGCTGGGGAGGCCTCAGAATTACGGCAGGAGGCGAAAGGCACTTTTTAATTTATTTATTTATTTATTTTTGAGATGGAGTCTCGCTCTGTCACCCAGGCTGGAGTGCAGCGGCGCGATCTCGGCTCACTGCAAGCTCCACCTCCGGGATTCACGCCATTCTCCTGCCTCAGCCTCCCGAGTAGCTGGGACTACAGGCACCCGCAACCACGCCCGGCTAATTTTTTGTATTTTTAGTAGAGACGGGGTTTCACCATATTAGCCAGGATGGTCTCAATCTCCTGACCTCGTGATCCGCCCGCCTTAGCCTCCCAAAGAGCTAGGATTACAGGCGTGAGCCACCGTGCCCGGCCGCAAAAGGCACTTCTTACATGGCCGCAGCAAAAGAAAAATGGGGAAGAAGCAACAGCGGAAACCCCTGATAAACCCATCAGGTCTTGTGAGACTTATTCACTAAGTATTTTTTAAAAATAGCCTATGGCTGCTTTTTCCAATTCCTTGACCCATATTCTCCTTTTAATCTGCTGCAATCAGTGTTTCCCACGAGCACTCAACAAAAACTGCCTCATTCATGTCTCTAATGTCACACATTGTAAGTCCAGTGGTCAACTCTCAGGCTTCCTACTTAACCGGCTGGCAGCAGTGCTGCAGTTCCAGGTATCACACAGAGACATAACAATGTCTTGTAGGCAAATAGAGCATGCTTGTTTTTTTTCTTGTATCTATCTACCTTTAAAAACAAGGAGACCTTTCCCAGAAACCTTACACTACATGTCCAGAGTTGGGTCACACATTCACCAACAAGCCCATCGCTAGCAAGAGTAATGGCATCACTCCCTGTCAACCTTTACGTCTGAGTCATGTGAGGGATAGGTTGATCCTTGAACTAAGCTGAGCTTTGTCATGAAAGTAAAGGGCAGAAGAGGAGCTGATTAGTCAACCAACAATGTCTGCGAATTACTCAGGTGAATTGAAATTGAGAATTTTCTCACAAATGAAAAAGTTATATCCAATATGTCATCCAGCATATATAATAGTTTTTAATGATTATTTTACAGCAACATTAGTAGCTAGTGTTCAAATATATGTATTAAAACAAAAACATTTTAAATTTGAAAAACAAAGTACATAAAAGATTATAACAAAATCATCAAAACCAACTTCACTCAATGTCTTTAAGAATATTTTTCTTCTTAATTTTTTTTTAGATTTTGTGAAAGCAATATTGTATTCTATTGAGATAAGAGAGCAAATATGAATAAGTTGCACATAATCTGTAATGTTTAGATATTTAATTAATAACTAAATCATTTGACAGCAAATATTTTAGATGCTTTTTTCCACTTGTAGTCTGCATTTACTTTACTTTCAGAAAGAAAAAAAAAAACCTGCAGCTATTGTAGGACCAACTTACACCCAGGCTAATCTAAAATGAAAATAAGTATCTTTCATTCCTTTGTAATTCATTGAGAAAAAGTATCTTAAAAATGAAATAAAATAGCAGTATAATATATATTTTGTAAGAATTGGGATATGAAATAATATATAATTTATACTTTGTACATTTAGAGTTATGATATGACTGTATAATATCCAAAGCTAATATTTAAAAAAAAAAACTATCTTCATTGCTTAGCTGTAGGGAGGACAGGTAGAACATTTCATATATCTTTACAGTACTTGCACCAAGATTTCCTGTATATTTTTTCAACTAGACTCACATCAGTCAGTAAGAATTATTTTCAGTACATATTTCTATCTCTAAATATGATTGACATTTTATAGCAGTCAGTGACCTGTCTCTATTTTGATCTATGGTCCCACATAGCCCCATTAATCAAAATAGACTAGAGTTAGACTGAAACAGGCCAAGTTCTGGAAGTAGGCCCACCAGCCCAGTCATGCTATATATTAGGATGTAGTAAGACGTGAGGTAGGTGTCAGAAGATGCCCAGCCAGGTATGTAAAACAGAATCTAGATGCTTCAGAGGTGGGTCACAGGACAAGGAAGTAGTTCCTCTAGAGAGATGTGACAGGCTCCCCTTGGGCAGGTAAAGCCAAGCAAGGAGAATTTAGTTCACTTAACTTTCATACTAACCTGACTATATTCTTTATTCTAATAACTGTATTTCTGCAAGTTTTTGAGGCCAACTCCTTACTTTGTATGTTTAGTTATAAAAAAGTACTGCAATGTTACCTATTACCCATGACCCTAAAAAACTGGGGCACCAGAGTGTTTAAAGGCTAAGCCCATCTTCTGTTATCAGCAGGAAATGGTTGGCAGTGGAGATAGGAAGCTGTAATATGTGGAAGAAGGATGCTTTGTGACAATTTAAATATTATCTCATTTAGAGAGTTTCAAGAGAGCTTACACCACTCCCCACCCAATAATCACTGTAACACTGTAAATGTAAAAATTTCCATTTTAGTCTTTTGAAATTTTGATGCCATTACCTTTTTCTAACAGATTTTTCCTAGGACTCTTCTTACAACATGCTTATGTAAAATTGTGTTTACTAACTAACAGATTGAGGTGACATATAATAGACTGGGAAGTGGAGTTTGTCTCAAAAAGTATATAAAATGAATACAAATATCTCTGAAGTACAAATCATAATTTTACTTTCAATTCCTGGAAGTAAAATAGAATAGCAATATTATAGTGGATACTCTCCACATAGTGGTAGGTGAAGTAATCCCATTTGAGATTATATAAGTGACTAATTATATTAATGGCGAAAGTGAGAATGAAAGAACAGTAGCTTTTGCCTCTCATTTACATTAGTAAATATGACTGCAAATATTCTTACATTATTTATTTCTATCTTAGTCTTTTTGATCACATTTAAGAAATGTACTTATGTCTGTAATAGATTTATGATAATCACATTATCTGGTAGGAAATAAATGTATTTGCATTAAAAGCAGATCAAAATAGTGATATGAAATGTTAAAGCTTCAATTAGCTTGAGAGGTCATCTATAACTTTGTGCTCCTTTTAAGAAGAATCTATCTAGTAAAAAAAAGGAATGTATTAAAAAATAATTTTAGTTTTTAAAAACACAATCTCTATCTGTGGTTTGTTTCTTATGCCTTTTAACCTCATAATACTTCCAAAGCATCAAAATTTGTCATCTAAGTGTTTCCATGGCTGTAGAAAAAAATCAATAGATGACAGTATTTTCTGTAGGCTGAGAACATAATGCTTACATTACTGGATCCTTTGCTGAGCTTTGTATTGAAATATCCCTCAAAATTCTTCTCCCTGCATCTGAGCACCCTAGTTGAGCTAGCGTGGTCGGAAACTAAGGTACAGCCTGCGAGGGAGACATGAGGATCATATTCAAGAGGTTCATGCTGAACCTGGCAATGCAATACAGATGCTTGTTTTGAGTAATGTTTCTTTCAAGGGCCCAAATATGTTCCTAAAATAAAATATATACAGTAATTTCTAAACCGTCAAACAAAATACATTATGTGACTCAGGCTTGAAAAGTTTAGAAAGCAAGAAGAATATAGTTATGAAATAAAATCCTTAATAGAAAAATGAATGTGACGTGAAGTGTGTCCTATTCTGCTTTTTGTTCTAGGAAAGAGCAAAGGGAAATATCTTAACTGCAATATTCTCTCAATGTGAAAAATAATTTCAGTATTTTCTTGGAGATTCGCTTCTTATTTTAATCCTTGAAAGCTTGCATTGTCTGTTCCTATAAAGGTCAAATATAAGTGGGAGTATTGGGAAATATATACATATAATTTGTGAAAAGTATTGTAACTGAGAAGAAAAAGTAGCATAAGGCACCAATGTTATCCAGTTTGGCCTATAAAATTCACTCCAAAATTGTATATCCCCTTTGAGGGTTTGCTCATTCCTTATATATAGGAATAACCCTATATACACACTCAGTATAACTTTATAGGCATGGCCTCATCATTATTAGTATGTGACATTCTATAATTTTCAATGAAAATTTTCCTTGCTAGCACCTTTTTCTTTTTTTAAAAATACATATTATTAAGATAAAAAAGCTACTTAAAACATATTCTCAGTTTTCTGAAAGCTGACCAACTTTTATCTCAAAAGCATAATATACCTTAAATGAAAGGATACATTATCAAAAGAAATACTTAAGACTACTCATTTCATTAAAATATGAAAATCTACTAATCTTTACATAGAAATATGTTCATGTGAATTTGTCTTTATTGTATTTGAAGGCGCCAAGCAGTACTTTCAGTAATCAAAGCAATTCTGAATGACCATAACTCACCTTACTTCAAAGAGATAAAAAAGCTTCTTTTAAGGAAGCAAATGAAATTATAAATTAAATTTAGAATTCTGGACGATGACCCTCCATATAATGACACTTCTAGAAGCCACTTTAGAAGCAGACACTAGACAGGCCAGGGCTGTCTGTTTCTACATTGGAAGTACAATTGTGTAACTGGTCTTTATTAATGTAAGCCTGTACCTCTTTGAGATGAGTTCATATTTTAGGAAGTCATATTTAATCACTACTATATTCCCCATTATTAAATGAGACTGATATTTAGTTTCTAAAAAATCTTTCCAATGTGCTGCTTGTAGAATGCAAGTCAGAGAAGGTTCAAAGGAAAACTCTTAACCCTGAAGACCTGAGATTCTCTTAACGATGTCTTTCACTGAGCAGATCTTTTGATTTTAAGAAAATCCAACTTAATCCTTTTTTTTTCTTTGATAGATCATGCTTTTGGTGTTGTGTCTAAAAACTTACTGAAGTACCCAAAGTCAGATCAAGGACAGCTAACACCTATAGTGTATCAAATTGTTGCTCCCAACATGACCATCTGAAATTTCTATGCTACCACTGTTGTAAGAAGTGGAAACTCAAGATCCAATCCAGTGCAGATTAGTGGCCTTATGTTTAAAGTGTATGCATACTTGCAACACAAATTCATTTCTCCTTAAATCTCCTTACATGTATAGCCTTCTCCATTGGTAATAACATTTACATCATCACTAGGCTTGTCGCATAAATATCGAAGTACTTAGAAGATCTTTATGAACTTTACACTCCCCTAAGCAATATTTATTTTTAGTTTTCTAAATATTTATGAACTTAGACTTAAAATAAATTGTTTTAAAATAATTCACACTAAAGTCATTATTTATCAAGGATTATAGTGGGAATAGAAATTATCTTACCTTCAAGAAGAGAATCTAGATATATTGATTTCTCTACTTGTCTTTTTAAGCATTTTTATATGCATTGAGAAGAAACAACAAGATCTTCAAAATGGCAGGTGAACTAAATTGCTCCAGTCAGAAACCCTGTGCAATTGGGAGAGACTCAAGGAATAGCTTATGAAATTGTCCAACTGAGAAGAAAAATAGCGTATGATTTTTATCAGAGATAAGCACAAGGTCATTTCTTTCAGAAATCAGAAAATCCAGACCTTCCATAAAAAATGAAAGTCTTCAGTAATCAGGATTCAGGATTCATTTCTCATTTTTTCCCTGCTGTGCTGTTACAACCTGAAGAGCCAGAAAATATCAGGCATCTTCAGTAAAAGTATTAGAAGTGAAGCAGAAAACATTATATTCATTTATGGCTTTTACAGCCTCAAGAAGGATATGGAACTAGAGACAACCTACAACACAACTTTCAAAATTATTAGCAGAGAGCATCTCTGTGACTACCTCATATTTGTAATCTTAATAATAATTGTGGTAGGCACATGGAGTCCTTAGGACATATGCTCATGTTCCTTTCTTTTCTGAATGTACGAGCCCTGTAAAACAAATTGCTTGCCTAAGACAATAACTAGAAAAGTTCATGGCAGGAGCTAAGTCTCAGTTCCTCTCATTCTTCTGATTCTGATCCAGCTATTTCCTATCTGAAATAGGATGGTGGTTATGGAATATGTCTGAGGTCTATAAACTATTGAATAAAAGTTTCAGCAAATTTCAACCAAGAATGAGGCAGCTCCCTTTGAAACATTTTGGGTTAACTTTTTTATTAAATAAATTAATTCTTCATACCAGTGGTGGGGGCGGGGGGGGGGGCAGAACTAACTTGAGGATTTTAGTAACCATCTATATGTACAATAAAAATGTACTGAGTGTCCCAAACAACACAGTGCTAACAGCACCAGAGCCAAAGGAGTGAAAACTTGGCTTTTGGTTTTTAGAAGCTTCATGATTAGTTGAATAGCTTATATACATAAGAAACATAAACAAAATTTTGAAGAGATTGGCAAATTCATGAGAGTGTTTTTAAAATTAGCATTTATTCATTGCTGATTATAAGCTAGGTACATTGCCATCTTTCATGAATTGTCTCAAAATAATTCTGATAATAACCTTTTCAGGTAGATTTTATTATCCCCATTTTATAAAGAGTGATATTGAGCTTTGGAGAGATTAAATAATTTGTCCAAAGGCACACTGATAATGTTACTGAAACAAGATTTAAATGACATAATGAAACTATTTGTTCAAAAGGAAGCTCGAACAGCACTCTCATCTTCAAGTTTAGTGTCAGAGAAGACAAAATATTTGTGTGCCATTGTCTTTACCTCTCTCTTAAAAAACAACTGGAGGAGTGAACCATCGCTTAGATTGGGCAGAGACATTCCAGTGACCTGTAAGAATATTCGTTCTTTCTAGCCACACAGATGATTATTAATTCATTTGAGGCATATGGCTTTGCACTGTGCTCTCTAAATGCTGCCGCAGTGGTGGCATGTGAATGATTTTCTTCTCCTCATCCTGCTATGAAGTGTCACTCTTCCCTGCCAGGGAGAATAGACCATGAGGAATAACTGCTTCTCAACACGGCTGTTTGTGATAAATTTTAAACCAGTTGTTCAGATCCAATATCCGTGTAATTTATTGATTGATTGTTCTAGATGGTGCTGAGTGCCAACGCTAGTCACATGTTTAGAAAAAAATCAACAAAAACTGGCTCAGAAAAGAGACTGATTTTCTCAACATCAAGAAGCTCTCCTTTGCATTCAGACTCTTGTTCAAAAATCATTAGGCTCCTTTTGTTTTCCAGACAACCCAGGAGAATGATGTACACAGATGAAAGACGTAGCCACCTGTTCTCAAGCATTTGCAATCTAGCAGAACAGAAAGTTGTACCAAGAATCATAGCAAGTGTATTAAGTACCATAACCTTTATGGGGAGCTACAGGAACTCAAAAGAGGACCAATAAAAGCCAGGAGAGATGAGAGGTTTTGGCTTCCTGTTGGAACTAACTATGGCTAGGTCACCAAAGGATCATGCAAATTTTGATAGGACAAGAAAAGTAGAATGATGATTCTAGGAAAACCGAAAGCATATGCGGAGGCTCAGGGGCATGAAAGCACAGCTTGTTTGGGGAAGTGGAAAGTAGTTAAGTTTGGCAACACATGGTACATTTGGAAAAATGACAGGAGATGCACAGAAAATAATTTTAAATGAAGAACCTGATGTTTGGCTCAGTATTATGGAGGCAAATATCTTTGTTTTGAATTAAAATGGAGATTCTGTTTCTGATTTTTTTCAAGTAATTTTTTTTCAATGTTCTCAAATTTTCTTTGACTTATAAAGCAGTACAATGTAAAACAATTTCATATTTCTTGTAGTTTCTGAGGAAGACAAAGGATTTGGACCAATTTTTGAAGAGCAGCCAATCAATACCATTTATCCAGAGGAATCACTGGAAGGAAAAGTCTCACTCAACTGTAGGGCACGAGCCAGCCCTTTCCCGGTTTACAAGTAATGTACCTCGCTTCTCTTTTCAGAGTGGAGTGTCAGAGTAATGATCACAGATCAGCATCTATGAACTTGTACAGATGTAATATAGTGCTTTCTGCAAATTCCATGGACATTAACAAAAATATTGGCATACAAACTATTAAAAAAGTTGCCTAATGCTCAAATAGCAGATTTTCTTAAATATATGCAAATAATTCTCTTACTATTTTTTGCACAGATAATGTTACTGGCATTTGACATTATCCACTTATAAATTGTATAATGGAAATCATGTTTTTAGGCCCATGAATGGTTACATAAAATTATGCATAATTTAAATATACAGATTTGAGGATAAAATGTTTTTGTTATGTACTGGCCTGCATAACTCATACCTACAGATATGGATAAATTTTTATATTAAGTACATTTAAAGATCTTGCACAAATAACTGTAGAAAGCACCATATTTTTCAACAGTCTCATATCTATATTCCACCCAACACAGCAAATTTCTTAAATGTCTCTACCTATAGGAAAATCTATATAAACATACCTCTTACTATTTTTCTGGGTTACATATGTATGCTATCTAAAACAACTTTATAAAAAGCAACAATGAGTTTTCCTGCTTCAGATGGGTCATAAAAGTATACTAACAGTTTCTCATCTGATGCAAAGAATGAGATGCAAAAATCAACCAAATGCCAGTGGATTTAAATTTCACCTGTGCAATGGTTCCATGAAGACAAAACAAGTGACTGATGGAGAAATTGGGGGCTCTAGTGTGTTAATGTCACCTGACTTAATTGAAAGTTGTCACTCAACAAAGTTAATTTTAATATTTTTTCCTTGATACAAAAGTAACTTTCTATTATTATAAAAAGTTCTTACAAAAGAGAATATCCCTTTCCACCCATTTGATTCTAACAGTACTCAGTTTTTTCCTGCCTTTGGCTATAATCACAAAATTATTCTTAAGATAAAATTGTGAATTTAGATACAAAATCACCATCCCATTGAAATTATTTTTATCGTTTCAATTTCATACATGGAAATATGATATAAGTAGGTATTTTATAAATTATAAATAACACATTTGTTCTCAAAATATTTGATGGGCTAGACTTATTTCCACCCTTAAGCCATATATAATGAGAGCCTATTTGTCATTGACATGGAATAGTAGAACTAATAGGATCTGTAGAGGAGATCCAATCCAAGAAAATTTTACAGGAGAGGAAGCTGAATCCTGAATAAGTAAATTTGCTTGCTCAAGAACTAGTAAATCACAGATCCAAGACTGAAACACAGTTTTTATGACTTCCAATGAGGTATGCAATTTTTTCATTATTTATCTATCTGGATAGATTGATAGAATCCCAAAAACTCTTTCAGTGACACTTATGCTGTGACACTCTGTTGTTAACAGTCACACAAGGGACCTTAGCAAATCAGTCTCTAGGCTAGAACAGAGGCAACCAAAAGAAAGGGCTGCTCTCAGATAACATTCTAGAAACATGGAAAAGGCTATGCTTCTCCTTGCTGCCCCCATGCCCCCACCCCACAGGCACAATAAAAAGCAAAGCTTTGCTTTGCCAGTAAGTCACCAACTGCCTCTCTCAGGTTGCACCCAGCACTGAAATTCCCACTTTGAGTTTGGCCTGGTTATCCATACACTAATAGACAGAACTGGAGAAGACAGATAGATGTTTAATCTTGTTATGAAGACAGTCTGCATTTGACAGGAAAAAAAAAAGTGGGGGGAAAGAACAGAAAAAAAATCAGCTCATGATGGAAATAGTTTGATGGAAAAGAACATTTAAAGTTTTTAAAATGTACATAATTTCAGGACAAATTATACTAACCTTGGTAATCATCCAATTTTTCATTCATATAGTAGTTATATATTTGTAGCATGTTCTGGGACAACGTGCTATTCATAGCAACATCCTGAGAGGTACAACAGGGTACTTTACTTCTGACTTATAAGCCTTGAGGCTTTCATTATCTTGCCCCCATCCCCAAAGAAACAAGCATTACAATAAAAAAGTATTAAAAGGGATTGTAGCAATAGTCTATGTTTCTGAAACTAGACCAGTGAACTTCTTCAAAGACAGAAAAAGGTAATCCTTATATGATGTCACAAGCACAATCAGATCCATGTGGAGGAAGGTAAGATAATAAACAAATATTTGGAACCAATATAATGAGGGAGAAATTACAAAAATTGGAGCTGCCCAACAAAGAAACCCACTGTCTTGACAAGAGCTAAGCAACTTAACACTAGATGGTTCAGGCAGGGACAATATTGCCATCACCTGGGGGAAGAGGAAGGCTTTATTCATTGGATTGTAATTTAGTAAGTTTTAAAAATGCAAAATCACAGTTTTCTATACTTGCTTTTAAATTATCTCCTATACTGCGAAAATTGTAACTAATAATGTTCCAGTAACTTTGATTTGACAACAGATATTCTAAAGTCATTAGGACTTTTGGGCATGATTATTACTCTAATTAGAAGTGGCCAGGAAATGAGCGATGTGGCCACGAGCCACTACTACTTGAGCGATTTGACCACAGCTCTAGGCTTATGACTTTCCTGAGGACATGGAACTTTAAAGGATAAACCCTGATAAAGAATGATTATAAAATTATACAGTTGGTTCTCTTAGTTGAGAACTATTTTCTACATGCATTCTTTTCATCATCACATCAGAAAGTTAGATCCCTGTTTCCAGTCTATTTATAACACTATCCCTATCAGTTAATGCTCTGATTATCTGCAGCATGTCTTATATTGTTATGATATTATGTGGTTGGGGAGAAAAAGAATTGTTCCTCTTTTTCACTTTATTAAAAGTAATCTTAGAGTAATGAGAAAAGACATAAGTGACCACTAACTCTAGGCTGAGGAAAATCCAGATTTACTTGTATATTTGTGGCTCGGAATAAATTTTTAAAAACCCAACTGACTTTTATCATTTTCAAATTGTGTGACTGACCTCTAGTGGTCAGAATATGTCACTTATTGAGCAGAACCCACTGTCAATTAGTTTGTTTTATTGAAAAATTACTTTGAAATTTAGAGTCAGATATTGATATTTTGTATTTTATTTATGGTAGAACAATGCTTTTAATACTTTATACAGTATATCTGCATATGTATGAATCTAACTGGTGCATAGATGGCTATCAATTACATCCCAAGAAATCAATTTATGGAGAAAAACTCAACAAAATATTTGTCACTTGAGATACCTCACAAAAAAAAGACAAAATACGTCATGTACTTTGATGTTTCCTTGTCTGTACTTGAGCTAAATTACAAATTATGGTCCTAGAGACTCAGAATCATAGAGTACAAAGAAATACCACCTGAATCATATTCTTAATTGTCTGACTTCACATGGAGCCGTACCCAAATTATTTTAGAACTGTGTTAGCTCCGTAGAGTTTCTAGGTCTCATGACCTGTGATATGACCTTTGTGTCTTTTTCTCATAGATGGAGAATGAATAATGGGGACGTTGATCTCACAAGTGATCGATACAGTATGGTAGGAGGAAACCTTGTTATCAACAACCCTGACAAACAGAAAGATGCTGGAATATACTACTGTTTAGCATCTAATAACTACGGGATGGTCAGAAGCACTGAAGCAACCCTGAGCTTTGGATGTAAGTAAACTGTAACTTTTAAAAAAGGGCAAGCGTGTTTAGGTGAGTTCAGCAAGAAGAACAATCAGGAAAGGATAGTGAGAGGAAGGCATCATAGATGAGGTGGATCTTACAAGATGAGTGGACCCTAATTGTGTAATGGAGACAACAAAGCACCACAAGGCATACTATGAATGCACTTGAAACAGTGAAAGATGATGTTGTCAAATAAAGGAAGGCCAGCGTCTGAGGATCTTGAATGACTCTTTAAAAGTTAGCATCAGGCTGGGCGCGGTGGCTCACACCTGTAATCCCAGCACTTTGGGAGGCTGAGGCTGGTGGATCATGAGGTCAGGAGATCGAGACCATCCTGGCCAACATGGTGAAACCCTGTCTCTACTTAAAATACAAAAATTAGCTGGGCGTTGTGGTGCATGCCTGTAATCCCAGCTACTCGGGAGGCTGAGGCAGGAGAATTGATGGAACCTGGGAGGCGGAGGTTGCAGTAAGCCGAGATTGTGCCACTGCATTCCAGCCTGATGACAGAGCAAGACTCTGCCTTAAAAAAAAAAAAAAAAAAAAGACATCAATGGAAGCAACAAGCCATGTATTATCAAAGGGGCACTATCACCCCTAAGGGGGTGAAAATTGTCTTTTGGGGGAAGAAAATGTCACATATTGCAACATAATGTCTGTGACTCTTCAAAGATCAACCCAATATGACAATATTGTATTCCCTAATATTTAACTTCTAATAGTAGGAATAAATTTAATTATATTTTAGTTAATTTATTTTAAATTTAAATTACATGAAACATTTCTTTTAATTAGGGCTAATAATGAAAAACTGTGCTAAGCTAAAAATTAGAGGTTGTTTTGAAAGAAAATTTTACATTGGGAGATGAGTTGGACCAGGTGATCTCCAGTATGTGATTTGTCAGCACTTAAATCTTTTGCAAAATGAATTATAGGATGAAAACAATGTTTTAAGAAGTCCTTCATGGTAGGGTTTATCAGGAGGGAATGAGAAAGGTCCAGGAAGAGAAGTAAGATTAAATTAGTGTGGTGAGAGTGGAAATGTAAATAATATACATTAACCATAAGGAAAGAATTAACAGGTTGCATTGCACAAAAGGAAAGAAGACTGTACATTTTTTTTCCAAGTTATGTCTAGTCAGAGGGTAGAAACATTCTGTTCTCATTAATAATGGGATGGGAGCAAGAAAAACCAATTTCAAGGATGGCAGGAAGCATTTAAATGGTTGCTTCACATGCAGAGGTTATTTTGATATTGAGTTATCCAAGTTGAAATGTCAAGTAAGCTATTGAGGATAGGGATGGCATTCAAGTAAGACACCAGGCCTAGAGAAGTAGATTTGAAAAGTCCTCTGCAAAAAAGTAACACTTAGCATAGATGAATTTTCAGAGGTATACACTTTATACTGAGAAAAGTAACAATTCAATGTTATAATTTGGGTGCCGATCACAGGTTAGGAACAGGAAGAGAGGCAGAAAAAAATAGAATGAGTATCAGTAAAACAAATGAAGAACTGGAAGAATATCAAGGAATCAAGTGAAATGTAAGTTCCAAATACATAGAAAAGAGTAAAGAAAATTAGAACTGAAACAAACCCAGAATTTGAGAAGGAGCAAGAGATTGGTTACTTTCACGTTCCCTAATGAGGGTCCTGCCTTTCACCCTTATTCCTTCCCGATATCCAAGCCCTCCCTCAGGAAGAGAAATACCCTTCAAATGAGTCCATTCCTCTAAGTCATTCCTTCTTACTTACTTTCTTTGGTAGGTCCCTGGTTTGTCTGATTTCATTGTATTTCCAGATACCCTGACTGAGATTCTCCCTAAGTCTGAAACAAAAGTCTTCAGGATATTTGTGATTTTCAGGGTTGTCAGAATTCTTATGCAGGCTGCTCCCAATATCCATAGACTTTGAGCTCATAACAGAACTTTTTAATAGTCTATACAAAATCTCAGCAATGTAAGAACGAGGAGCTGACTTTACTAGGCTTCACCAAACCACTGAGAAGTGCTGTATCTCACGAATGAGTTATTTGCTGAAAGGTAAAATTGATGAATGTCTCTCTTTCTATTGACCAGAGAGTGAATGTTTCTCTTTTTTTCTTTCGTAATTAGATCTTGATCCTTTCCCACCTGAGGAACGTCCTGAGGTCAGAGTAAAAGAAGGGAAAGGAATGGTGCTTCTCTGTGACCCCCCATACCATTTTCCAGGTAAACTTAATTCCTCTCTGACTATTAGCATCTATGAAACAAAATGGACAAGTTTCCATTTTCTTAGTAATAATGCTACATTATTAATAATCATGGCTTATTATTAATTAAATGAGACTGAATATTTGCATACCTTGTAATGTGTCACTAATTGTTGTGGACACTTTCTTTCTTGGCTCAGTCACCTGGCTCTAGTCCCAAGGATCTCTAATCATTTTAGTTTATAAACATATATATATATATATAGTATTATGTCATCATTAAAGTTCCTATTCCATAGGGAAATTCTGTTAGATTTTCTAGAAAATATTCCTGAAATAGAACAGTACCAAGAAAGGATGTATAATCAATCATTTTCTTAACAAGTTAGTATCTATGAAATACTGTGAACTGTATGTAACTAAACCCTAGAAGGGATAAAGACATAATAAATTATTAATCTCCTTAGGAATACCAATCAGCAAGAATAATCATCTACTTTATAAATGGGGCTAAATTAAGTGTCATCTGTTATGAAATTCAATTTTGAATCTATGTTTTCTGTAATTTTATATGGCTAAGACAAAAGCCACCAAAGTGCTAATTAAAAGATGAATTCCTCATATACTTTCACCAATTTTCATTTATTTATCAAATATCTCTTTGAAACAATATATAAATACCTGTTTTCACAATTTAAAAATCATGTTTCTATTCTTTTAGTTCTAATATTATGCCTTAAATTTGACTTTAAACATCTCCATAGAGAATGAAACGTAACAGGCTTTTAAACTCCATACAGGATTTTGTGTGGGATACATCAATCTGATGTGTGTGTATGTACATATACACACACATATATTTCACACAAAATTATGTTATATATTCCACATGAAATTGTGTGTGTGTGTGTGTGTATATATATACACGTATATATACGTATATACGTATATATACATGTATATATATATATACGTGTATATATATATATACACATATATATATATAGAGAGAGAGAGTTGTGGTTGTTTACATATCAAATATTTGTGATTTTCTCCACAATAGGAGAAAGATGATTGCTTGATAAATACAGGAGGTACATATAAAATTCAAAATTTTCTAACACCCTTTCAATGAGAAAAACCTTTTTCTTAAGGAACTATTGAAATTATATATATATATATATATATATATATATGTATGTGTGTGTGTGTATATATATATATATATATATATGTATATATACATATTTTAAAAACCTACCATTTTCATAGTGTTTCCCACAAAGTAATGACCAAAACTATCCAGTGACTACATTTGACCATATTCAATACTGGATGGACTTCACTGCATCACTCATTGACTCAGAAAATCTCTTATGAGTATTTGTTATACAGCAGGCACAATGTATGCCACAGAAATGCCTCAGTGGAGCAAAACAGGAAAAGCTACCAGCCTTCAGAGGTCTTCCACGGGGAGAGTCAGACATTAATAAGATAAATGGCTAAAAGACATGCCATGTTAGATATTGCTAAATAAGGATAGATAGATAGATAGATAGATAGATAGATAGATAGATAGATAGATAGATATAATGCAGGGAAGTGGGGAGAGTAAGTATTGAGGGGAATGACTGAACTCAGGAGGAGCATCACTAGAAGGAAAGTTGGAATAAACACCTGAAGGAAGTAAAGGAGCTAACAATATGAGTATCCGAGAGAAGAGCATGCCAGGAAGATGCTGAGGTCAGACTATGGAAGACCAAGGAAGCCAGGGTGGCTGTCATAGAGTGAATAAGGCAGAGGGTAGTAAGAAATGAAATAAGAGAGGTACAAGAGCTGCATTATGGAGGACCTTATGATCCATAACAATTATTAATACTTTGGCTTTTACTTTGAATGCGATTTACATTGGTGGGCTTTGAGCAGAGGAGACACATGACATGACTTAAGTTATAGAAAGGTGACTCTGGTTACTGTTTTAAGAAAGGACCTGGGGAGGACAAAGGTGGAAACAAGAGATCTGTTTGGAGGTATTGCAATAGTTTAGGTAGCATATGATGGGCCAGAGTGGTGGCAGTGGAGGTGGGAAGATAAATCCAAGCATATTCTAGATAAAATAGAATATACTAAATTCTATATAGAAATCTAGGTATACTTTGGTTAAATTCTAGATATATTTTGAAGGAAAAGCCAATAGGATTTGCTTGTTGACTTTATGTGGTATATAAGATAAATACAAGAGTTGAGGGTGGCATAAAAGTTTTTGCTGTGAGATCCTAAAAGAATGAAGTTGCCATTACTTCAGCTGAAGGAATAGATGTGGACATGTTAAATGTGAAGCATCTGTTAAGCTTCCAAACGGAAATCAAGGTGGCAGTTCTATATGTGTGTAGATGTCGGGGGTGATGGAATATCAATTTATGATTCATCATTCAATAAGTTGTTTTCAAAACTATGGGACTGCAATGTGCTTACCTAGACTTCTGGGGCAAAAGCAAGAAGTGTCATATATCTACCGATAAAAGCAACATTTCTTAAGTATGTGCTGGCACTTACTGAAAAAATAATTTTATGGTTATTTATTGTTTAATCCAGTCTATAATCCGAGGAAAACAGATAGCTTTTGCAAAGATGATTGATTTTATCATCTGTGTGGGGCTAGGAAAGACACAAAGAAGATGGTCTGTTGAGTCCTTGAAAGAACTAGATCAGGGCTTAGCTCTTGATTGACAAAGTCACATCTCATCCGTAAGTCGGAGAGTCAGCGTGGCTATTGCTCTGGTGTTGGTACAGCTTATTTTGGTGATGGTGGGTGGGGAAAGAGGTGAGAACATCAGTTCTGCCTCCCGTTTGCTGTATGACCTCAGGCAAGTCACTTCACCCTATTAGGCCTTGGATCCCCCATTTAAAAATGGCAAGAGCCATTCCTACCTTTGTTGTAACGATTGCTGACAGATTCTAACAAATTGCAATTATTGTTTTGTCCAAGTGAATGGCTTTAAAAATAAGTAAGATTTGTTAAATAAATTTAGATTAATTATATTGCAAGTCCCACAAATCCAAAGGCCACATCTATCTTGTTTAGCAGCACTTGGAAGGTACTTAGATTTTGCAAAATAAGTAAATTAGAGAATCTACATCGGGCATTCAGTCAGTTAGACCAGTTGTTCTATAGTCCAAGACTTATGTTCATACAACATCACGACAATAACTTCTCGGATTTAGCATTTATCCCTTATAAGGATCAAGTACCATCACTTCTTTCATTCCTTTTCACACATCTCTTATGAGTGGGGCACAGGAAAATGTCTTACATTTTAGAGAAACTGAGTAATAGAGTGACTAACTGGCCTGATAAAAAAGTCATACTGAGAATTAAAATTCAGGTCTCTGTATTCACATAACCACTGAGGATTCAGATTACTCTAAATGCATTTTGTGGGCAGTATCTTTCATACATTCTATAGTTACAAAAGTCCTTTCTCTGTAAGGAAATACAAAATTTCTTGACATTTTTGGCTTTGGTGGTGGGGCAGGGGGAGTGGGGATTTAATTTTTAACAGAAATCCTTACAAAATTTGGATTTACATTTCAACTGAGAATAGGAAATATTAATTCAGAATCAGAAAAGATCAAAGTCTTCTTTTAAATGTACTATACATATCAGCTTGGATGAAAGACTACTTAATACTCCTTTCTGAATGTGATACTTCTTTACTTATCCCAGGAGCCCTCATTTAAGAAATTTAAGCAGCTCCCTAAATATTTTCCTATACTAATTATCCTGTGACCCTAAATCAGCAAGAAGAAAACAAATGAAAAGAATTCAATTATTCACAGATATAAGTGCCTAGAAATATATGTTAACCGTAATTCTGAGTTAGAGGCTAATTATGGTAGTCTAATTTTCTGCCTCTTTTTATCTGTATTCTGTTTCTTCAATAATAAACATATGCTGCTGCTTCTATAATTTGAAAAAATCAATGTTGAAAACCAAAAGAATATAATCATATTCACTGCCTGTCTTGATGTTGTATTTTGCTGGAGAAAATTACATAGCTAAGCTAAATATAATGCCCAGGTTATTATTCCCAATTATGTGAAGCTTATATAATGTGCATCTCTTTTAGTTTTTCATAGTCATTGTGCTTTCACACTCTCTTTGAAAGCTTTGCTAGCCACGCTGAGTTCCCGAAAGCAAAATAGCCATTTGTCATGATTATTCATCTTTAAAAGAAGCCTGAGTGCTGTGATTTCTTGGTTTTTCACCATTTTACACCTAAAATCCTATCTAGTCTGACCTAGAGAGATTCCCACTTATATTCTTCCCAGTAGAAATTGTCTTTATGTGATCAAGATGTTTTGAAGGGAATCATCATTTTTTGACCTAAAGGTATGCATTGCCCATTGTCTCCTTGTGTATTTGTTGAATGACTCCTGGGGAGTCATTCATCAAAACAGAGAGGAAAGAAGGAATAGAAAACTATAGGAAATGCAGCAAATTAAGGAGGAAATTCAGTTTTCCATTTAACTAGTTAGTGTGTTCAGCCAAAGGAATTTCATGTGGGTAAGAGTTACCATATGATACATCTCCTAATATTTAATTAAACCAGTACCATACTTTTCCCTGTTTCTGTGGTTTCCCTTTTTAATGTGACCACAATAGGTTATGTAAGCTCATTTCTAACTCTATAAAATAGGTGCACACACACACACACACAAAAAAAAAAAGATAAAGCAATAATATGGTAAGTAATCTTAATTATATTTATAAAATGCAGTTTGGCAGATTAATCATGGCTTTCGAGTTATTAGACATGGATTCAAAATCCTATTTCTTCTTAATAGTCATGACATTCTAAGCAAGTTATGTAACCTCTTCGAGTTTCACTTAGCCCATCAATGAAATGAAAGCAAGAATATAATAGTTTATTAAATAATAGAAATAGATAAATAGATGTAATTGCTTAGTGTAATGCTTATATTCATGTGAAATATGGTACATGTTTAAAAGTGTGCACTGTTTGTCTTGGCTTTCTCCTAACATTTGCTCCACAATAGCCTTTATTAGATTAAGTGATAGCTTGTTACTAGCCTCTATTAAATTATGTAACAACTTTGGGAGAAGCACTTAATATTTAGAAGGCAATATTTTCTCCTAGATGATCTTAGCTATCGCTGGCTTCTAAATGAATTTCCTGTATTTATCACAATGGATAAACGGCGATTTGTGTCTCAGACAAATGGCAATCTCTACATTGCAAATGTTGAGGCTTCCGACAAAGGCAATTATTCCTGCTTTGTTTCCAGTCCTTCTATTACAAAGAGCGTGTTCAGCAAATTCATCCCACTCATTCCAATACCTGAACGTAAGTATTTTATTTGTTACACTCTGTTTTCGCAAGGTTATCTACATATGGTATACTTACCGTAATGAAAAGAAATATCCAGTGAAGACTAGCTGACTTTTCAGGAAGGACAATATAAAAGGGGATGCATGTTGAAGGGGCCAAAGGCTTGGTCCTAAGCTTTTTGCGTTGAGAAGATTTAGCTAATAAAATTGCTGTAAGAAGGTTGAGTTCGGATGAGTTGCCTCTAGCTCGGAAAATACACAGGGGACTGATACCTTAGTCCAGTTCTAGTGTATTGGTTACAGTGGAAATCACTGACATCTACTTTTTGTTTTGTGGCCATTCCTACTTCTTAGTAAGCTCATGAAGAAATCAAAGGATTGGTAGATCAAAACAAACAATAGTAATTGTAGAATTTTTTAAGTCATTTTGATTATTTTGGTATTTTTAAGGAACTATTTACATGATACAAATAAGTAAATAAATGGTCTTTTCTAATCTACATAATCAGCATGAGGTGCTACCCTGGTAGCACCATGGCAGATGACACTGACAATCTGATTGGCCTTTCCCCAGGCTCCAATTGAACTACTTCCCTTTTAAAAAGCACTGCTGCTTAAGAGAATCAAATCACAGTATACTTGCTTACTTTACATTATTTCTATCCAAGTCCTTCTGCTACATTAATATCAGCAAATTCAAGCTCATGAGAGCATACCAGCTTCAGATTAACAGATTTAGGTTTGGCTCCTGCCTTTACCCCTAAGCACAGTGTGATGATGGGAAAAATGCTATAATACCATTGAGGTTCCATTTTTATTTTTCTCTGCAAGGCAACACTCACATAATTGGTATTCAAAAAATATTGTTGACTTTCTGGCTCATTTTTCTTTTCTCAGTTTTAAGAGATAATCTCACCCCCTACTTCATAGACTGAAAAGGAGCCATCATGTAAAAATTCTCTTGATTTTCTTTCTACTCTTCCCCAGAAATATACTTGCAATTCAGCACTTCTATTTATTTTCTTACTTTTTGTCTCCATAGCAGAAATATTTCTCCCCTCGCTCAAGCTAAGTTCTCCAGTTGTTCCGGTTCACATTCCATTTGTTTCAATTAGAAACTTCACTACAACACTTATTTTCTTCTTTCCTGAATCCTCAGATTCTGCTCTACCTCATTATCTCTGCATATTCTCTTGTATTCAATGCAATTTTGAATTATTATGAATTCCTATTTGCTAAATCCAAAGGACACTTTGAAGTCCTTATTCTGTTTGAACTTTGACACTGCCTCTTCTGCCTTTCATGAACTTTTCTTTCTTCACTTAATTTCCTGAACTCTTCATCTCCCTTCTGCCTCTCTGACAAATTTCATAGAATATTCTTCACAAAATATTCTTCTTTCTTATATTTTTCTCTAATCTTTTCCTAGGTATTCTCACCCACTTACACATTTTCAACAGTATACCTTTGCAAGAGACTTCAAGTTCACATCTCCGAAACTTTTCTTGTGTTTAGATGTCAATTCTTCCTATATCCTGGACTTGTCCCCCAGAAAGCTCTCACAGATGTTAAGCTCAAAGTGTCACAAATACATGTGTTACTTCTCTCCAAAACCTTCCTTTTATTTAGCTTATTTAGCAATACAGTTTCATTTCTAATAACTCAAGGTAGCATTATTTATTATCAAATCCCAATTTCCACTGATCTTCAGGACAGCTAACCCTGTGGTTCTTAATTAGTAGGTAAGCACCTGGGGAGTTTTGGGAATAATGCAGGACCCAGAGATACTGATTCAGCAGGCCTGGAATATGACCCAGGAATCCACAAGTTGAACCAGTATCCTAGGTGATTCTGATGATTGAGCCTTTAATCTACACCTTGAGAAACATTGATCCAAGGAGCCGTCCTGTTGATTCTGCCTCTAAAATACAATTTATATTTACTGTTTCCTTTCTGTTTTCACTGTAACTATGCCCTAGTGTTGGCCCTCACCTGTTTTGCCTGAAGTATTGAAACAGCCTTTTTGGACCTCTGAGACTGTCTTCTATATTTCTCCTCTCCATGCTCCATCCTTTAAAAATGCCAGCAAGGTCTTCCACTTAAACCAAAGATAAGATCCATATTACTTCTCTTACCAAGTCCCAATGGTAGTTACCTGATACGATTTGGCTGTGTCCTCACCCAAATCTCACCTTGAATTGTAATAATCTTCACTTGTCAAGGGTGGGGCCAGGTGGAGATAATTGAATCATGGGGGGCTGTCTCCCCCATACTGTTCTTGTGGTAGTGAATAAGTCTCATGAGATCTGATGGTTGTATAAAGGGGAGTTCCCCTGCACATGCTGTCTCTTGCCCACTGCCATGTAAGATTTCCCTTTGCTCTTCCTTAATCTTCCACCATGATTATGAGGCCTACCCAGTTATGCAGAACTGTGAGTCAATTAAACCTCTTTCCTTTATAAATTACCTAGTTTCAGATATGTCTCTATTAGCACCATGAGAACAGACTAATATATTACCTATTGAGAAAATTCATCTCAAAATATTATTTTTTCAGTCCTTCTAGATTGTGGGTTCAAGCTCATATACTTCAGCATCATTTGAGTTCCTAGACCTTTTAAAATTCCTTGCACACTCCTGGAGCTTTGTCGTAATATGGTGTTTGCTCAAGCTAAACTGGTCCAATTTAAATGCCATATTTGCCTCAGAGTGCTATAGCCCTTACCTACTTCTAACTACCGTCCTCATCAGTCACTCTTTCAAAGTACCCATTTTGATTTGGCTTATATATCATTATTTATTTATTTGTCTCTTTAGCATTTTACAGTGTGTGGTACACACTCAATTTGTGATCCTAAACAATGCCTTTCACCTTTCTAAGCCTGATTTTTTCTGTAAGCCTGAAGGATTAATACATCTTTCAGGACTGATGTGCTAAATAAATGAAATAAAGTGTCTAGTTTGAAGAGTGCTGTGTTGTCTGAGTAAATGTTTTCCTTCTTTCCCTCTCTCCTTCTCTCTTTTCAATTTGTTTCCCTTTGCCTTTATCTCTGTGGGCATTTCTTCTTTTCTCCTTAGTTTCTTGCCTTGCGTCTTTCTTTTCTACTCTCTTCTCCTTCTTCTCTTTCCTTCTCCCTCATTTTCTTTCTCCACCTTCCTGAGTTCCATGCAGCACTGATCACAATGTTTGACACATATCTGTTGCTCACTAAAGACAGGATTTTTTTTAGTAAATTGAGTCACAATGGTTATGCAGCTGTCAGAACGAGCCAATATTATTGAAAATACTGAGAAGTTATACTATATTCATACTGTGCATAAACAAACAAGTCTATCCATTATGATATGACCTGTACCTGTACAGAGAAAAGCTTCCATGTTGGAGCAGCTCTAATCCTGTAGAATTACCATGTTTAAGAATAACTAATATTGTGCCTAATAATTAGTGGATATTTGTGTTTCTCTTAATATTAGGAACAACAAAACCATATCCTGCTGATATTGTAGTTCAGTTCAAGGATGTATATGCATTGATGGGCCAAAATGTGACCTTAGAATGTTTTGCACTTGGAAAGTAAGTATACTGACACTTTTATTAATATATATAGAAATAGTACCATTTTAGGAAATAAATAATTGTTTAGCTATAAACATAAAGTAATTGTCTTTTAAGTGTGTGAAACTTTAACCCTTGTATCTTCTATTTAAAGTCCTGTTCCGGATATCCGATGGCGGAAGGTTCTAGAACCAATGCCAAGCACTGCTGAGATTAGCACCTCTGGGGCTGTTCTTAAGATCTTCAATATTCAGCTAGAAGATGAAGGCATCTATGAATGTGAGGCTGAGAACATTAGAGGAAAGGATAAACATCAAGCAAGAATTTATGTTCAAGGTAGATACATTATTTTAATTTTGTATAAATTTCATCAGTATCTTATTTAGAGCCATTTCCATACATGAAAAACTACTATATAATGATTAATGGTTTTAAAAACAGTGATGCATGTTACATCATGGAGAAAGATAAAATATTTCTCATATGTCTAATGAAGTCACAACTATGAGTTATAGAAGTTACGAACTTATTACCAGTTGAACCATAGGTAATAGCAATAGATTGATAGAAGTGTTATTGGTAATTTTCAGAATATACACTTAATGTAGTTTGTTTACTCATTTTATCACTGTCTTTTTTCAGTATCTTTTTATTTATAGAAGAAGCTATGTGTTATGACTTAGTTTAAGTCAGTGGTTTGCAAACTTAAGCATGCATCAAAATCACATGGAGGGCTTGTTAAAACAGATTGCTGGGCCAAACTCTCAGAATTTTTCATTCAGAGGTCTGTTAGGGGCTCATGAATTTGTATTTTTAACAAATTCCCAAAGGATGCTGATAATATTGGTCCTGGAGTCACACTTTGAGAACCACTGGTTTAAGAAATCTTTTTTTTTTTTTTTGACAAAATTATCATGGCACAAACCTTTGATTTTCACACATTAAAATAAACTTACATTTGGGAAGACAGATTTTTTTTCAGGCCACACTGGAAACTTTCCAGACTGAAATAATTTCTATAATGTTCCACAACATGAACTTTGCAGGTCACAAGTGAATAAACATCGAGGGCTTCCACAATATTATTCGTTTTTAACTCTGGCTACTGTCCCATTTCACTTTCTCCCGTCTCTCCCAAAAAGGAATAAAAAATTTGACAGATTCACGCATTCTCTCTAAAAGTGTTGTCTCCATCTCCAGTTTTTCTTCTCTCTTAATTGCACTCCAACATGATTTGCATCTCTGCCTCTCCACAGAAACCTTTCTTTTCATGACCACAGACTTCCATATTGCTAAAGCTAATGATCAATTCTCAGTTGTACTTTTTTTTGATCTAACAGCAGTGGTTGCCACAGTTGGTCCCTCCCTTCTTCATGATTCACTTTCTGCACTTCATGTCTGCAACCTACTTTGTTATTAATTTCCTTGTATAATCTTTCATTCTCCATTGCCTTTCAACTCCATACTTTTCTAACATTGGTGTGATCAGGGTTCCATCTGTGAACCCCATCTCCATTTCAGTCACTCCATTTATGATCCCACTCGTGATCATGGCTTTAGACACACTCTGTACCCTGAATGCTCTAACCCAAACATTTACTCTGAACTTCAGACTCGTATGTCCAATGCCACAGTAACATTAATGCAATACATATCAAGTCTGCATGAAATGGCCTCCTAAAAGGAAGAAAATACTAGGTAAGGTCCTTTAAACTTTTGAAATAAATCCACCACTTTCTACTAGGTTTCTAAAGCTTATAGACCTGTTTTTATTCAACATATTAAGAAAACTACACTCCAGGTTCTCAACAGAGTAAAATTTTGAACTGTCTAATATCTAAAGCCTTAGAAGAACCAAGGTGACAGAGCACATATTTACAGAAGGTAATTTAAGAGAAATATTATTTATTCTTTACTAATGCAGCATACTAAGTATTATCTTTAGGTCTGATCACATCACTAGAAGGTTACATAATTAAGCCATATATAGACTGTGTCAAGCCAATTCAATTATTCATTACATGATGTAATAGAAAATGTCTGTGTTGTCTTTGTGAGGCCAAGACAGGAAGGGTGCTGATATTCCTGTATTATGTATTGCTAAGATTGTATACAAAATAAAACCTTTCTCCCTTACAATGAACATATCCACCAATAGTTTAAAAAATATCTCCCTATGTTACAAATATAATGATGAGTGAAAACATGTACTAAATAAGATTATATATGCTTTAAGATATATAGGTGTACATATGTCTACATGTATAATGTATACATTATAATGTATAATGTTGATGGTATTTGGTGAGATAAAAATGTTTTCTAGTTTTTAAATTTCTAGTATTTTATTACTTGTTAAATGTTTTTTATAAGATGCATATATTGCTTTTGCCATAAAATTAACACAAGTTCCCAGTTTCAAAGAAAATTAAATATTATTCTCCACTCAGGATTCTTTCTTCCTACTTCCTTTTTGTATTAATTTATTTATCTGCATTTATTTGGACTAGATAACTGAAATAATCAAAAAGACTGTCAAATTGTTTATTTGCTTGTTCTCTAAAAATATTTTTTCTTTGGAAAATTTTTAGCATTTTCTCATTTTTATGGATGTCTCTTTAGCTATCAAGTAGATCAGACTAAAGAATGAGACTGAGATCAATTTTACCAATGCATGGATTTCACCAATCATGGCTACTGTATATAGTTTCTAATATGGAAAGAGTATATTTAGGTGTCCAAGTCATTTTTCTAGCGCCAAAGTGAGATGTTACCGTGGCCACTAGCTGAAAGTTCCATCAAAATGAAGATAATGTATACCTGAGGGAGTGGGAAAAATATCTGAGTCTTTATCCAAAATGTTAAGAGATGGTATCATATTGAATTGAGATGTAATTCTTTAAAACCTCAATTATCATTTTGACAGACTTGAAAGGTTTATGTTATGAGCAGAAAAAAATCAGTTATTTTAGTAATAATTATAACTCAGCTTTTCAACAAAACATGATTTACAAATGGAAAAATAATGGCTGAGTTATAGTTACCTCCTGCTGTAATAATACAGGATTTGCGTAGGTTAAGCCTATGCAAAGACAAGGCCTATTACTGAGTTCAGGATGCATACACTATCTGATGTATTCTGCAGAATTAGGTTAACTAAATGTAATATTTATACTCTGGAGATTATGATGGATCTTGAGCCCTTCATTTAACATTTACAATGTTCCTTACTTTTTAGCATTCCCTGAGTGGGTAGAACACATCAATGACACAGAGGTGGACATAGGCAGTGATCTCTACTGGCCTTGTGTGGCCACAGGAAAGCCCATCCCTACAATCCGATGGTTGAAAAATGGATATGCGGTATGTATGTTCAAGTGCTTTGCTGTTCCTGAGTCCCTGTTCAAGCAGTGTTTCAGGGTAGTCCTGGGATAAATTTAGCAGGAGAGACAATACAGAAAGGGCACTTGGGCCCTGAAATATAAAAGCTTCCTAAAAAAGACAAAAACTGAACATAAAGTATCTTCTTTCAGTTTAAACAACTTTCTGTAATCTTACTCTACCTTCTCTCTCTCTCTCTCCTTATTTTTTTCCTTTGTTCCACTTTTCCACCCTCTTCCTACTCATCCATCTCCAATACCTGATATTGTCCTCTTTTTCTTGCCACTATTTTCCTGTACCCCACAGAGACAGAGGTAAGAGTGAAGCTCTAAGTCCTACCTTTGGCCCTGGGGACAAGTAGCAGCAGTGGGATTCTTCTCTACCTTCCCACTGTAATCTCCCAGCTGGTCCAAGAGGGGAAAAGGTGGACTCTCAGCTCTGTAGGATGAATAGAACAAGAGCCTTTGGGCATGGTAAGTGGGTTTTCCTTTCCCATGCCATGAAAATCCCACTCAGTTCATCTTAGGTAACAGTGGGGGCAGATGAACATAATGTATCTAAATGAAAAGACAACCAAACCCAGACCTAAGTGAAAGTATTTCTATTAAAGTTCATTGAGAATATGTTTCAATTTTATTCTTTTCAGTATCATAAAGGGGAATTAAGACTGTATGATGTGACTTTTGAAAATGCCGGAATGTATCAGTGCATAGCTGAAAACACATATGGAGCCATTTATGCAAATGCTGAGTTGAAGATCTTGGGTCAGTATCATTTCTAATTTCTGTTAAACATTGTTAAAGCAATATGTCATATCACACAAAATGTTTATTGAGCCTACACAAAATACCCAGTATTGTGTTAGGTGTACAACATATGTTGGTTGTTTACTGATTTATTTATTGCTAATTATCATAATTCAGACTAACGAAACAATGGAATAGAATGAATCTTTGCCACAACAAAAGTCTTCTTCAGAGCATCAGCAGCAGTGGCCATACCTAGGAGCACATTAGAAGTGCAGAATCCCAGGCTCACCCCAGACCTACTGAATGGACACTTTAAAAAGATACCCAGATGATTTTAATACAAAGATAATTTTGAGAATGACCAGACCAGAGGATGAAGAGTCAAAACCCAGATGAAGATATGCTTAGGCCTAGAAAAGCCTCCAGAAAGTACATAGTTACGGATGATTGTAATGTGTTGAAATATATGGATGAAATCTGCTTGGAGTCTGCCAAGGGAAGAGGAGAGTGAGCAGTGGATTAAATGTGTGGATGCTGAGGAAAGTCTGAGCATGACATCAATGAAGTAACCTTTTTTAAGCCTCTGTATTCTGTTCTAATAATTATTGCTCTGTACTTGGAGGTAATGATGAACTACAAATGATCATGTCTCCTTAATTAGTTGATTAGATCCATTATTCCCATAGCTGTTTATAGATAGATCCTGAAAGCAGGACTCCAATTATTTTGGCATTTTGCAGGGTGTTTGCATACAGATGATGCTCAGTAATTGTATAAAGAAGGAGAGACTGCATTGTTTAATGAAAAGTACATGCTTTGGAAACAGAAGGACCTAGATTCAAATGTGACTCCCACTTATTACTACCTGTGGTACCTTTGCCAAATTAAATAATCCTAATAGATTTCAATTTTCTCATTTATAAACTGGGAATAGTTCATTCAACATGTGGTTTAGAGGATTGACTAGGACCATATGTCAGTGTGTATAATGCTGGTCAATTTTTTCCAGCCTTTCACTTTACTTTCCTTGTGGAATTGAGTCAAAGCAACAGAATTCAGAGTTAATTTTAAGGTAAATGTGTATAAAACATTTGATTGAAATTGAAGTTATTTATTTATTGAGACAGGGTCTCACGGTGTTGCCCAGCCTGGAGTGCAGTGAGGCGATCACGCTTCACTGCAGCCTTGACCTTCTAGGTTCAGGTGATCCTCCACCTCAGCCTCCTGGATAGCTGGGACTACAGGCATGCACCAACATGCCCAGCTAATTTTTTTGTATTTTAGGTAGAGATGGAGTTTTGCCGTGTTACCCAGTCTGCTCTCAAACTCCTGGGTAAGCCATCTGCCCACCTCAGCCTCTGAAACTGCTGGGATTATAGGTGTGAGCCACCCATGCCTGGATTCTAATTAAAGTTTCTAATAATCAATTCAGTTATCATCAAGAATTGTACATTTGAATTGGGTGAATTTTATAAGTCAAAGTTATTAAATAAAAGTTACAAAGCATTAGGTATAGAATGCCTATTGGTGACAGCTGATCATATTTACCGAGATTAATCCTTTCCATTAACTATTAAGGAGAATAAAAGATTCTACAACACAGAAGCAATGTTTAGGCTTTACAAACAGAAAGAGAAAGATAACAATTTGTTTTCTTTTTAGCGTTGGCTCCAACTTTTGAAATGAATCCTATGAAGAAAAAGATCCTGGCTGCTAAAGGTGGAAGGGTGATAATTGAATGCAAACCTAAAGCTGCACCGAAACCAAAGTTTTCATGGAGTAAAGGGACAGAGTGGCTTGTCAATAGCAGCAGGTCAGTGCTGAAACTAGAAATCCAATTGCAAAATCTGTTTGAAAAAGTTTATTTTATAGAAGACTTGTTTATATGTTAATAATGAAAATGTTTTTTGCTCTGAATTTTTTTTTTCACAGAAGATCCTGTAGTTCTAAGATGGACAGAAATACCTATCCCTGTCAGTATCTATTATAATGAAGGTTTAATTAACAGGACTCTATAATGTATAAGGAATTTAGAAAATTGAAGCTCAGAGGTGTTTTTTTGTTGTCTTGTTGTTATAAATTGCCCAATGTCACACAGCTAATAAACAATGGGAAATAAAGTAGGATCTCTCTAACATATTTTTCCCCAGTATAGGCATCTGGCATCTATATCCATTCATATTCAACTGAATTTTGTGCAGTTAGCCTATTAAATATTTTTGTAGAAAAATAAAAAGGTGATTTCAAAGTGCAAATAATCTCTTCCTATCTCAAAATGAACAAGATGTTATCATCATCTTCCTTATAAATGGACCATCTACCAATGTTTTGGTGGTTTGGGGACAAAATGAAAAAGCAGTGTACAACTTATATAGATTATTTGTATAAAAGCCACACTGAATAGTTTATATGTATCCTAGAAGAAGTAATATTGAGTGCAAAAATTATGACGAGGAGAAAGCCAGGATGGGAAATGGGAGGGATGGGATGTGTGGGTTGGCTTGAGGGTGTATGTGAGGGTGTATGTGAGGGTGTATGTGAATGTGAGGGCAGCATGTACAAAGGCCCTATGGTGAGGAGTTTAGAATGTGTAAGAAATTGCAGAAACTGAAATCAGTGTGATTTGTCTTTAGAGGAAAATGGAGGAGACTTTTAAGAGATGAGACATAGTAAGCCACATCATAAATGACAAAGTTTTCTATGCTAAGGGGCTTGGGCTTCATCTAAGAGTAATATAAATCTGTTTAAAGTCTTAAACAAGGGAGGACAAGGATCACTTTTGTCATTTGAAAGACTGTTATTACTCAGATGTAGAAAATACATTATTTTCTTCACAGTAACCCAATAAAGTAACATGGGAATTATCATCCATATTTTGATGTGTCTAAAGCTTGGTAAAGTTAAAGTGACCTTCTGCAAAAATATATTCATGCTATCTAAACTAGAACTTGAAGTTGTAAGACATTGATATAAATTGAGAATATGCCAGCACAGCCCTCTTATTAGGATGAGCACAGGCACGGCTGTTTATGGAATGGGGCAAGAGGGCAGGGACATCAGGGGCTTCCCTGAACACACTGACTTTTAAAGTTAATATGTTTGACCTCAGGGTTGTTAAGATTTTAACAAAATGATACTACAAGAAGGGTTAAAGGAAAAGTCCATTTGTTCAATTTGCCGCTGAAACATTAATGGTCAGACAATGAGCAATGCAGAGACCATGATCAAAGGGCAGCTACATGTGTAGGTGCTTACTCCTTCCACAGCCTAGAGCAGGGCATTCCCCAATGGACAAACCATTAGTTCTCTTCCGTGATAATAAAATCTTTTTCTGATTCTGATGAAGACCCATGTCATGGACCTCTTCAACCAAGGATTTCCCAGAACTATGTTTCATGGACTTGTTTTTCCTAAATATCAATATGTGTTCAAAAAAAGAAGAGAAAGATCTAGCTCCTGAAATTTTACAAGTTTGATTGTGTTCTGATATTTTTAAAGCCTTTGAAATCAAATTGCATTATTTCCTTGATTAAAGAGTCTATAAATCTAATTTTTACTTAGTACTTTAACCCATTACTATCTCAGTGTAAATACTATTTAATAGTAGATATAGTATTCATATGCAAATATATTTGAATTGTAAAATAAGATGTATAAAAAGCTAAACATAAAAATTTTGGTGTCTATTTTGAAAAAGAATACACAAGGACTAACTAAATATTGGTCTTTAAGCATAAATATAATCTTATTCTTCTGAATATAATTATAAACAACATTTCCACGTAACTAAGTTATTTCTGTATCTGGTTAGTGCCTAAAGAGTGGTTTATATGATATTTGGAAGAAGCTATGTATCTTGATAAATAGTAATTAGGTTTTCATTTTATGATTTTATTTTTGGCTCAAATGATATATTTTCTGCAGCAGAATTTCTTTGTAATTAGCAGAATTAAGTTAGTTGCTAATTTAAATTCAATGGATTGCTATTAGCTCTAAGGTCACTTTTATTTAAACCACTTATAGGAAGGGATCTTCATTAGTCTTTTCTACTCCAGAGGTTATTCTGGAGTAATTTTGGTACCAATAAGTGACCAATTGGTTAAAGACCAGATTGTTCCTAGTTTGTTTGACAGCTGATCTATATCATAGTATCTGGAAATAAGGATAAGATCTTGAGAGTTTAGTCTATATTACTTTAAGAATAAAGAGAATTATTACAAAAAAATCAGGTTTTCTAAATATTTTTATTAAAAAGTAATTTTAATCTCAAAGGCAAAGTACCTGAAAGTATAAATGAGACGAATGACACATGGAATTATGTATACCCTTTAAAGATGGTAAAAGATCAATTGAAAACTAACATAAGTAAGCTAAAAATATTAGCATGATTTAAGAAAGAATCATCATTGTTTTTTCCACTGCTACTTCATTATAATTTTTGTTGTGCTTCTTGAAAAATAATTAAATGAAAGGGATGTGGGAACTTGGCTGAGGATTTATACTAGAGGGTAGTGAGAAAAAGTGTGACCCATTAATATTGGTACTGTGTTAATATGTGTCCTCCAAGAAGCTGAAGCCAGGAAGATTAGCTATGTAAGAAATTAATTAATGGCAATGCATGGGAGGGAAAATAGAGAGGAAGCTGGTGGAGGCTTGGAAAAGTATTTTACTGAGATACAGGTCTGATCCCAGATGAAGGACAGAGGGAAGGAAGGAAAAAAGATTGTGTTGAAATGACTTGGACTGCACTGCACTTCTAAGAGTATGGTCATGCCACTGGAAAGTCTTCCATTCAAAAATGCATATCAGAGGAGTTTGCTGTCTTCCAGGAGCAGGCCTGGTTTAAAATTCCTCCCATGGTCAGTCATTGGCTAAGAACAGCCTGTGGAATGTGTGGCTTTGAATAAACACAGTGATGGATTTCTGAGTACGGCGTCTGGGACAGAGAATAAATTACACTCCTCAGAGTTGGAGAGTGGCATATTCTCAGAGCTTCCATGATCTTAAATAATTACTTTTATCATTATATTATTTTGATACTTCATTTCTCCTTCAACAACAAAAAGTACTCTGAAATGAGCTTCAAGTCAGGACTGGATTGTTCAAGAAAGGAAAGGAAATCCTGGACTATAATGTTAGCGGAAATTTTGTTATTTTCTTATATGAAGATTTTTATCAGTAAGGTAGATAGTTTTGCTTCTTTTATCAGACTTTGCCCTTAAAATGGATATACGTTTGCATGTTTTGTGCAAACTTTCAAAGATAATTTAGTTTTGAAAATTATCTATTTAAAGAAAGTAAAAAATCCAATGACAGGCAATTCAATATTTAATCTAAGTGTGAGTTTCTATACAATAAAACTTAGTGAGTTTTTAGTGTCCATCCCCTGAGGAAGAGGCTGACAGGTAGGGAAATATGTGTAGTATGAAAGACTTAGTTTCTGTTCAAAGAAGAATTTCCTAAATATTAATTTGTTCCAGAAGTTGTTACTAAGGAGGTTTTAAAATATTTTTTAAAGTTTCTAAAAATAAAATACATTTATATTTCTCTGTAGCCATGGAAATGGCAATCTGTCCTCACCTCCTAGTCTGAATTGAAGTCCTGAGGTTACATTTCTGGGAGACCGGGGCTCATTTCTTTCAGGCCTATGACTGATTTCAGCCTGTCCCATAGTGGAAGGTCAGTTAGAAGACTACGGCAATAGTTCAAGAAAAAGATGAAAGTGGATTTCCAAAACAAAATGTCAATGATGAGAAAAAATATTATAACTAAAGGCTAGAATTTGTCATCTTACAAAAATGTCTGTGGTCGCATGATTTATATAGAATGTAATAATTGAAAAATATTAGTGTTTGTAATCTAAGACATAATAATGTATTTTACTAAATCAGGTTTGTGAATTATATATATTTTTATTTCACTAGAATACTCATTTGGGAAGATGGTAGCTTGGAAATCAACAACATTACAAGGAATGATGGAGGTATCTATACATGCTTTGCAGAAAATAACAGAGGGAAAGCTAATAGCACTGGAACCCTTGTTATCACAGGTAAGTTAATGTTTGAGGGTGCTTAATTTCTAATGTATTAAAAAACATGATTCAGCACTAAGCATCTAAACAGTCAATGTATTTGTAAGTTTCTTTTTCAAAAGAATTTCAGGCAAGTTTCTTGCTTGATGATATTGTTCTTGGAATTTGGAAGTGAAAACATCTTATTATTTTGCACAAATAAAAATATATTGGTTATTATTTTAATATACCAGATAATATTGTGTCTTATATCTTCTTGAATTGTGCTTTACATTTAAAAATATATAGATCCTACGCGAATTATATTGGCCCCAATTAATGCCGATATCACAGTTGGAGAAAACGCCACCATGCAGTGTGCTGCGTCCTTTGATCCTGCCTTGGATCTCACATTTGTTTGGTCCTTCAATGGCTATGTGATCGATTTTAACAAAGAGAATATTCACTACCAGAGGAATTTTATGGTATGTGTTTTAAGTTTCATCTTATTAACACCCCAGTGATTCCTATGTGTCTGCATTGAAAGTTCTATTACTATAATCACATTTTATATCATCTTTGTTTTTCATGAGACCAAAAAGCAGGCAAAAAAGCTTTCTGTGGTTCTCCTTATATTAACTGTTGTACTGCTAAATCTTTCTAAAATGGCTAGCCCTGAGGATTTTGGTATAAATATTAATCAATTAATATTAATTGGGCTTTAGGTATGATTTCCCCCTTAATTTTAATACAATTGATGTGTATTACATCAGTATATATGTGCCCTTGGTTCTAGTGCCTTCCTTTTTACTTTAAATGAAGAGCATAGAACTTAATCTTTGTTATAATGATGATCTTAAAGCATTTATGTTATGCTTTAAGAGTAAGAAAGAGACAAAATTATATATGTTGGAGAATTTGGAGAATTAGTTTATGTGATTTGAAGAGGGTTAAATGGCTATATTTTAAGAATTGAAAGGTGTTACATTCTACAAGTCCTATAGTTAAACATAGTGATATAGAGAGTCAAGGTGTAGAAAGAAATAAAATAGAGGGAAAAGACTGAGAAGTAATGCAGGCAAAACAACTTGTGTAAGAACATTGTTGGTGTCTTGGTAGGCTGTCTAGGTTACAGTGTATTTAAAAAGTAAATTAATCACTGGCCCTATCAGCCTCTTCTTTAGAAAAGCAAACATTTGTAAGACTAAGGACATATTTAGAACATAGGCATAATTAGGAAAACTTTTATTTTAGAAGTCAGTTATTAATATAAAAAAGAAGCACAAATGAA